>NC_000011.10:105354242-105657273 GCF_000001405.40 Homo sapiens
TATGTCAGGAACCAAGGATTGAGACCTAATATAACAGAAGACGCTCCTATCACCTTATCATTTAGGAAATTACAAGTGTTTCAGAAGCTCAGTGTCAGAAAGTGAAGGCAGAGACCAAATATATGTCTTACTATGTCACAATCTTTTAGTCAATTACTATTGCTAATGAGATATTGCTGCTGTCAAGACAATTAACATTCCATTGTGGATAATTTGCCATTCTTTCATCAGTTGTTTTAATTTTTTTCTCTTATGTATTTGATGTCACAGGGTTTTACTATATATGTACATAAACTTATGTACATAGTTTTACTTTTCCTATTTGGCACTTTAAATAAAACTTTATATGAAGAGGCCGGGTGCGAGGCTCATGCCTGTAATCCTAGCACTTCGGGAGGCCGAGGCGGGCGGATCACAAGGTCAGGAGATCGAGACCATCCTGGCTAACATGGTGAAACCCTGTCTCTACTAAAAATACAAAACATTAGCTGGGTGTAGCGGCTGGTGCCTGTAGTCCCAGCTACTAGGGAGGCTGAGGCAGGTGAATGGCGTGAACCTAGGAGGCGGAGCTTGCAGTGAGCTGAGATGACGCCACTGCACTCCAGCCTGGGTGACAGAATGAGACTCCATCTCAAAAAAAATAAATAAATAAAATAAAACAAAACTTTATATGAAGATTCTTCGTTCTTTATTTCAGGAAAATTCTCAGTCATGTTTTTAAAGATTGTGCCTCCCTCATGTTTTCTAATATATTTGTTTTGTTTCTGTAAAAATATGATTTGACATTTTTATCTTAAATTTAATGTTTTTAGCATATTTTTCATTATATCAACCTCCATATGGTGGTGTGCTGATTTATGGGTGAATTCCAAGATTATTTTGAAATAATTACTTCCTTTTAGAAGTCTAGAATTTATCTTGTCTCTTGTTTCTCTATTTTAATAACATTTTAAAATTTCTATTATTTATAATTGGTTATTTTAATCTTCAACTATTTTTTATTATTGTGGCCATTTTTTCTTTGTAGTAATTCATTAATTTTTATGCATGTTTTTCTTCCCTTTATAATACTGTTATATGTGCTTCTTATAGTTTTTTTTTTTTACAATAGATTTCTTGATTATATGAAGATTGAAAGGGGCAAAATCTTCTGTTGAGCGAATTGGCTTTCTTAATTATTTAATGTTTTTTTGTAGTTTGACATTCTTTTTAGTGTAAGAAGGAATTTATGAAAAAATATTTTCTTTTTATTCTGCCTTTGTAATCTCTTTTTCTTCATTCTTTTTGGTCTGATAGATAGACTCTGATTATTTCTCCCTGACCCATATGACTATAGCTTTCAGAATCAGGTCATCTATTGGCAGTTCATGTACATTGCTGTCTCAGCCTAGGTCCTGGTTGCTTGGCTATTTCTGATTAATCTTGTCCTCCTGAGCAATAACTCAATACAGGTCACAGCCCTATCCGTTTTCATAGATTAGGTTCCAGTCACTCTACAATTTATAATGTGATTTCATTCCATTTTCCTTTAAAGTTTCCATTCCTAGATATCTCTTCTGCTTTCTTCCCTAGAGAACTTCATTTCATTGACTTTAACCCCTTCTTAATCTGAGTTTTCTGTTCTATCTATGAAACATAAACATGTTCAACTGGTTTTTGAATGGTCCAAAGACTTTCAAACCGTTTTTGATAATTCCTTATGTTTGAAGATGAGTAAATAAATCAGATGTTTAATGCTATATTTTCTAACCAGGTAACAACAGTATTCCAAGTGGCTAGCAATAAGACCTCTTCAGAAAACTCACTGTTAATTACACACACACCACAAAAAGGAAAAAATAACATAGGATTCTGAGTCAAAATAGTTTTTATTCTGTTTCTATTGTTTATTTTATTTATTTATTTTTCCATCAGGGACATACCTTGATTTATAATGGCCAGAATATAAATTCTGCAGATATTAATTGCAGTATTATTTGTATGTGACTATTTTATTTCATAATCATGTAAATGTTTTTAGTTTTTATTCCAATTTCCTTATTTTGTTGAAATTCTACATATTGAATATTTCAATGCAGTTTATTTTGATTAACAAATCAAATAAATTTAATTATAGTAAAAATAAAATAGCATACTGTAGATGTTTGATTTTTTGTAAGCTATTGCTAACATAGCAATTTTAGTAAGCAATAATTTATTCCAAATAATTGTGAATAGTACAAATTTAGTGTTTTTTCTTGCATGATTCTTGAAGGATTTTCTGTTATTTTGCTTACTACCTCTAGTGATCTTACATTTTTCTATACTTAAAACAATCGCTTTAACAACATTTAGTCTGCATTCCCATATTGTGCCTGAGTGTGGTTCTCAAATATTTTGGCAGATTCAGAAAATATCATATATAGTCTTAGAGTTGCTCCAAGAAATATTATTATTTCAACATCTTTGAGGACTTTTTCTAGAGACAAATTCAACCAATTTATCATATATGAAAAAGGAATGCTTCTAGATATTCAGCCAAAATTCTGGCTTGTATTTTTTTTTCTTTATCAGTCATGTAACCGTGAACATTTCCAACTTGACTTTGACAAGCTTTAAAATCACTGTGTAAATTTGAAAATAGTTATCTTTTTTAGTTCTACACTTAGTGTATCCACTTCTTACAAGAAGCAATGAGATATTTATAAATTTCAACTTTGGTTTCTTCTTGTTTATTGACTTGGCTGTACCATTTTAGTAAAGTCTGTTTCTCCTTCAGTGTGAAGCCATAGATGTTCTCAGAGGACATAGCCTCAGGCAGAGGATAATCACCTTAGAATAGCAGTGGTTTTAGCAGGATTCTATTGGACTATCTCTCTCCCTGCTCTCTCTGTTAAGGGGTCTGCCTCTGCATATAGCACACCCAGATTTTAGCCTCCACTAATGGAAGGCTGACTGGTCTGTTGTTTTCCATGATACCCTAAAGTATAAATTGCTCCCACAGTCTGATCCAAGTCAACCAAGGCCAATTGCAGAGCTAGTTTTTGAGGCAAGTTTTGTGGTTTGTTCTGAACACAGGAGGGGCATTGTTAGTTGTCTCTTCATCTGGTTGTCTCTATGGTAAAGTTTCCGGTCTATATTTTAGCATGTTGCTCATAATTGCTTATCATCAAAACAGCCTTTGTTTCTGAGCAACTCTTAGCTTGAATGTCCCAACAGTCAGTTTCCAATTAAGTTAGTTGCTTTATAGAGAGCTTTGGAGTGCTCTGTTTTTATGGACTCCCTCTTTACCATGGCAAAACATTGGAACCTCTGCTCTAGAGTGAGAGCAAGGAGAGTGGTGTAATTTTTCCAGAGTGACAGAGACACACCAGCTCCTCCTCAGTTAAGTCCCGCCAAGTGCCCCTGGGTAGGGTGCCTTTGAGGACCAGCAGGGGACACAGGGCAAATTAGGGATGACGTTCAGAACCAGTGCCTACAGGCATCTCCAAGGGCTTATCATGTTGGTAGGGAAGGTAACTGCTCATCTTCGCAGGCTGCCTCCCCCACATGTATCTTCCACTCTGTGAGGGAGCTGGAGAGGGACAATCATTTCCTCAATTTTTTTTGGCTTGCCATGACTAGCAGTGAGCCTCCACTCTACTAGACGGGGTTGAGTGAATGAAGAAAAACCCCAACCTCTAGCTTCAAATGTTAGGAATTTAGCCTGTGCAATTTATTGCTGAGAGGTATGAGAAAAGTTGGCAACCTGCCCCTCCTGGTGAGATAACATATCCTTTAACTGAGATGAGGAGAGAGAGAGAGCCTCATTTTCTTGGCCCTACTCACTCAGATTGGAGAGTCTGAAAAAAAAAAAAAAGGAAATAAAAGAAATTTTGAGATGGGAGAGAGAAGGAGAAAGCAAGTCATGGCTAAGTGACACAGACTGGCTCTTGGTATCACAATTTAGAAGATTTTCTTGAAAAAAATATTTATTTGCTATGAAACAATTTCCAAAGACTTCTTTAAAATAGTTTCTTCAATATGATCATTTTCTGGAAAGAAGGTTTGCAGAACTTACCACGCTACCATTCCAGAAGTCACATTTTTCCTAATTATTTATTTTAAGTATTACAGGATCTCTAAATGTATTATGCATTTGATTAATAATATTAGCTTAAATTTTCCATCCCACATACTGATTATTTCTGTCATTAAATTATTTTTATCCTTCATATGAATTTGTTCATTATAGATCAAATTTTAAAATCATACTTAATAAATTCAGAAATTTTTTTTCTAGTACACACTATGCTAGTAAAGACCAAAACATGTACACCATTATGTGGGATTACATGTAGATACAAGATACCATCCTTTTAAGAATATTATACTAATGTTCTGTTTTCTAATGTATTTGTCTTGATTCAATACTGTTGATATTTTTAATTAGTTAGCTTTGTTCTTCAGTTCTACAATTAGATATGAAATGTTTTGTTTCCAAGTGGATTTGTGGTCTTTTAATAGAGTATCAAATGTTTCTAGCCATAGATAATTTAATTGGAAAAACTAAATGTGAAACTAACTTGTAGTACATGTAATAGTAGAAGCAAAATACATTGCATTTTAAGTTAGTATTTAAAAGCTAATTACTACATTTTCTTTTTTCCATTTTAAAAATGATTCAAAATAAAATACTGAAATTTCTGCCCTGTAACCCAAAGTAATTTTATGTAGTTAAACTGAATCAGAAGCTGTTTTGATAGAAACATTTTTACAATGCCAGAAAGATGTGATGAATATTTTCATGAGTTTTCATAGAATCTGCTAATTTTCTGAATATATTTTATCTTTCTAATAGATCAGAGCTGCATTTGTTGCTTCTGAGATCTGAATTTGATAGAAATAATTGCCTTTTTATATTCTTATTATATTGATCATAATTAAATGTTCATTAATTAAAGACTAAGGCAGTCCAGGTATTTCATCTGAACTGTTCAAGTTCTGGATTTGATTAGAATAATTTTATAGCTGCCCTTAATTTATTTCATAGCCTTTTAGTATGTCTGTGGCCTGCTGCCACAGACCACATATGTGGAGTGTAAAGCAGCTGCCTCCCTGCCCAGGTCTAAGGACAATGCTGTTAACAGGAAAATGTGATATGTTATATCTAACTTCCAAAGGTACTCTTTAATCTAGTCACTCTGCAGATAAGAAATTGCCAGTAAAGAAGTTTGCAAGTCATGTTTTTTTCTGAAATATCTAAAATTGAAATTTTGGGACTACATCTTGTAATTTTGCTGCTCAGTGATTTTACGTTATTCATGAACACTCAAAATAATTAATGAGCAGAAAAGCCTGTGTCACAGATGATGAAGACAAACTTCTAGGAGAGTTTACTTCTGGATCTTCTGTTAAGAGTCAGGTTCGTTTGAGATGATGACAGGTGACAGGCAACAGCTTTTTGTTATCTTTAATTAAAATAACCAGAACAAATTTCTGGAAATCAATTATGTGTCCATGGAGGAGACAGCAGTAAGCAGAGGTTTCAATTGTATTCAATACCAGTATAGGAAGCTGATATTCAGCACTCAAAGTGGTTCAAGAACCTCATCTACAAGAGGGAGGTCAGTGGAAGAAGCCAAAGCTATTCTCAAAATTTCTGAATAACAAGTTTCTTAGCAACTGAATCAGTGGAACCCCAAAAGGTTTTGCTGAGATTGCTAAAGGACCTATGCTCCACTTCCAGACCTCAGTGGTGGGTGAGTGTTAGAATCACACACTTCTGTGTATTCTTCCCTTGGGCGTTGAGAAAATGCACAGATATACATAACAAAGTGCAGAGAAGATGTTCAACTCATGAACCAAAGACCTGAATTGAAAACAAAATTATGATGACATAACTGAGAGTCTACTTGGCTGTGAAATGCAGAATGGAAAATTGCATGTGTCAAGAAACAGGCTAAGGCAGCAAAAGTAAGTAGGGATATGACAGATACCTTGAAACACAAAGACAGCCTCTAGATAGTTTGGAGAACATTCTAGTGCAGTATCTTAGACTAGGACATAAGGAAAATATAAATAATATTGCATACCCCCTTGGAAGTTGTTACCTGGCAAGCTTGACAAATTTACATATATATATATATATATATATATATAATTGAAGGAATTAAGCACTAAATTATGTGCTGATGGTGGTGAATGTGGTTGAATTGATGCAAAGGACACTACTAGTTAGATTACTAATGTGATTACCTCATGGTGCTTTCTTAATTTAGGTAGCTGTGAGTTTGTGAGAATGTCACTAAACAATCTCTTTACTAAAAAAAAAGCTCTTAAAAATTCTGAATAAAGTTTTCAATGATCTCTGTTGAATTTGAGGCTTCCCTGAAATACTCTCTAATCTTATTATTTACAAAGCATTTAGTGGTTTTTCTCCCATATTAAGACTACTCCTGTTTAGATTCTTCTTTCTCCTTCCAAGTATATTCCATCAAATATTCCCACTCAATTCTTTTTATTTTCTTTAGTTCTCAATTATTTTATTTGTACTCTTTATGCTTTAATTTGAATCATTATAAGTATTCATATGTGACGTCTTCATATATGCCTTTGGTCCCACTGTCAGTTAGTAGTTTTGCTTTGTTTTGTATTCCTAAACAATTGTAACTCTGCCTGAATCAGTCAGAAAACCAATTTATTAAAGGATGTTTTGCTAAACACAGAATTTGGGGGAAGGGCTATGGAGCTTGGTCTGGAGGATAGACAGTCAGAAACAACTCTTACAAAGTGTCATAGAAATGGTCACATGAAAACAGGACCAGGAACAGATCTTGTTGCTGCACCATTATCTAAGTGCATCTATTCCTAACTCTGAAAACTGCTGTAAGTGGCACTTTTCTGCCCCCTTAAAAAAGAGAGTATATATTACCCTCGCTTTTAATGTACTAGCTTTTTGTTTTAAAATCTGCATAGATAAATCATATCATTAGAGCCTTGAAGGTGAATCTGGACTACAGCTGCAAGGAGGGCTAGGAAAATTTTCCCCGGCATCTTTTTGTTTCTAGAGTAAGAAACTACCTCATAATGTAAAGGGAGACCCCAAACATAGAAAAGGTGGTTAGATGCAGAAAAAAAAAAGTCACCTACAATCTCAAATTCACTGCAAAGTGCTGCACTTGAATTCCAAACTGTTGCCTGAATATCTTAAGGTTTATTCCATTAAATATCTCCAATACAAAATGTCTCTGGATAATGCACTACCTGATGGCCATTAAAATGAGCAATCATGATTTCCCCCTTACTGATCTCTCTGCCTCAGTCACTTCTACCTCCACATTAGTTTACATATATTGCAGTTTATCAGTCAAAGTAAGTCTTTAAACTTGTACTCACATTCTACACCCTTAATAACCACAGCTCTAATAATGTAAAATTGTTGCTGACACTTATTTTCCATACTTCTGATTCTCCTATCACCTGCTCACCTTTTTCTTTCCCATCAGCTTTTATCAGCTTCTACTAAACCACATCATTAGCTTATTCAGTAGGTCTGTTGTTTGTTACATGTTACTCCTTACAAGGACATTAGTCCTATGAGAACACGGACCTTTGTCTGTTTTGTTAAGTGTTATACTTGTAGGATTTAGAGTACCTGTCCCATAGAAAGTGCTCAACACATATTTGTTGAGTTAAACATTGTTGAATCATCCCTGAAAAGGAAATGATGAAATTAAAGTAGCATATGGAAATTTTAGTTGGGCTCTGGCATTTTTTTTAATGCAGGGCAACATGGGTCTCAATGTGAATAAAGCACATGTACAGAGATAGCTCCCAAGAAATATAAAATATAAATATGTAAATATACACATGCTGTATATATGTCTCTCTCTCTCTCTCTCTCTCTCTATATATATATATATATATATATATTCAGTATACATCCATATGTGTCTATAACAGTAGCTTTAGGCTGAAACCCAAAAGATAAAGTCTAAAGGGAAAACTAAATGAAGAAGTTGAGTTCAATAGGAGAAGACCAATTACATTTGAGATTATGTTCAAGAGTCTATAACTAGGGACAGCAGCCAGAAAAAC
The DNA here is from genome assembly GCF_000001405.40 of Homo sapiens. Lineage (NCBI taxonomy): Eukaryota > Metazoa > Chordata > Mammalia > Primates > Hominidae > Homo > Homo sapiens. The sequence goes on from NC_000011.10 coordinate 105,362,301, forward strand.
TGATGGAAATGTCCACTATTACCTGGCTATATGCTATTAAATATATCCATATTAAACCTCCAAAAAATCAACCCTTGAACTGACTCTGTGAATATAAGCACTCCAATAACTTCTAAAACTTCATCTATACAAATGGTCACAATTTTGATCTTTTACATCTTATTTTCATTAAGACTCCATTTCCAAATTCTCAAAGATAGTTTTCTTTAGATTTTTTCATTGCTACTTCATATTCACTGCTAAGAAGTTAATGCCAGTAAACTAATTGCCATTATGAAAGTTTCCGTTTTTTTAATCACTGATCCAAAAATACCATAAAATATATAACTATTGGACCAATGTTTTCTTTGTAGCATCTTATTGTAAATTTTAAGTAAGCCCTGTTGTTTCTGTGTTTTTAAATGAAGACAAGGGTCCTACTATTACAAATATTGTTCACTTATTGAATTACTTACACATTCGGTATTTATTTACTTACCTATTACGTATTTCTATATAATGTCTTTAATTAGATTTTTTTTTTTTTTGAGATGGAGTCTCACTCTGTCGCCCAGGCTGGAGTACAGTAGTGCAATGGTGGGTTTAAGCTATTCTCCTGCTTCAGTCTCCCGAGTAGCTGGGACTACAGGCATGTGCCACTATGCCCAGCTAATTTGTGTGTGTGTGTGTGTATTTTTAGTAGAGATGGGGTTTCACCATGTTGGCCAAGCTGGTCTCGATCTCCTGACCTCGTGATCCACCCACCTCAGCCTCCCAAAGTGCTGGGATTACAGGCGTGAGCCACCGCTTCCGGCCTAACTAGATTATTTAATAAAAAATAAGAGTACCTACTGCAATGAAGGCACTCTACTGGACACTGTGGCTCCAGCAGTTGAACCAATAAAAACTTTTTTGTGTGTGTATTCTATTTGGAGAGGCAGAAATAAATAACCTAAAAATAATAATATAATTTTGGTTTGTGACATTAAGAAATATAAAGTGGGTTGTGTGCATGTGTGAGAGTGTGCATATGGTGGATGATACTGTCAAAGATTATACCAATTTTAAGTAGTAAGTATTCCATCCTACGATTAGTTTTTTATCACAACAGAATCTCTTCATGATGCCAAATATTGAGATAAGACCTTTTCTGTAGACCAAAAGAATTGGGACATTAGTAAGTGTTGCTCTTAGCCAAAAGGTCTAAATGAACCACATTTTCATGTAATCATAAAAATTTGAGCAATAGAGTAGAACGTTGGGGCAAAATGCCATAAGAAATATGTATGTATATTTTAGTTAACAACCTCAAGAAAAAAGTGTTTGAGAGTTTGTTAATGCCATGTATTCTATACTACAGAGTGAAGACAGGCTACTCCCTCACCTGTTTATATGAAAAATATCTGCCTACTACATAGTGCTTCAAGTAGTGCTAATATATTTTGTTCATTTCAATATAATATGCTTCCTCTCCATAATGGCTTTTCAAGCCCGTTTATTTGCTTTTGTACACTGTGTTTAAAGCTCCAAGTTGAGAATTCTATTATTAATGATTACCCAATTTAAAACCACACTTTAAAGTTGTGCTTCAAAGCAGTCATCACTGTTCTGCAACCTATCTGTTGATAAACTATAAGGAAACACAAGTTCCTGCACCCAGTGGTCTTTCTGCACAGGTGAGAGTACCGTGTATTCAAATTTAGGGAAAGAATACGACATCCTTGCCAGGACTTTTTAAGCTATTTTATGTATAAAGATAAAGTGACCAACCTAATGACTTGGATCTAAAATAAAAGTGTCTTCATTTTAAAAATTCTCAGAAAACTAGGCTTTAGTAAGCATAGAATACTATTAATTTATTAATGTGCATGAAAAACAGGAATACACTGCACGTGGTATTCTAAAGATTCAATCCAAGAAAAAATAATCAATGAAATCTTACAGAGAATTGAAAGAAGCCAGTTCTTGAAGTCCTCAAATCAATTTATGTCAACTATAATTCAAGGAAGCATCTTAAGTAAAGACAGAATAGGTTGAATAAAACTCATATGTCTCGGTCACTCAATAATATATCTTTGGGTCAGGAAATTTTTTTAAATGTGTCTTAAATAGATGAATACTCTTTGCTATAAGAAATATATAAAAGCAAAGTAAAGAAAATTTTTGATATAGTTCCTATTCTCTCAAGACATATTTGAAATGTACTGCACGGTATGATTAAGCAGTTAAATTTCATAGAGTGTAAGTTTTTGCTCCCATAAAATAATTTTTCTTTGCTTGCATTGATTCACTAACACCTTATTGAGTTGAATGCATGTTTTGTGGGGTGTTTTTGGTAGTCTTATTGATTTCTAGAAAGCTGAGAGGATGGAAACATAGAAATTGATTTTTTTATTACAAAGCCAGTTATGATCAAGCTTAAAGCTCAAAAGTAATCTCTGCTTATAAACTATGCCCCTTTAAAAACATTTTCCCTATGAAGCCAAAAGAAGCTAATTATATTTTAAGATTCATTAATGGAATGGAAAAAAGGTGATGATCTCTTCCTGCTCTGGGCTAGTGAGATCAAAACTACAGAAATGTACTCAAATCTCAGTGATAAAATTTAAGGAAGATTAAAGATAAATTTCAAATGCATTAAGAATAGTGTGACTAAAATACTGAGGAGACTCAATGCCAGGTAAATGGAAATCTGTGTATTTTGTTGTTTGGTTTCTATTTGTTTTGCATTGTTTTTGCATGATTAGAGTCTATACTTTTGGAAGACAGCATGTAAAACAGGGATTAGACCTCGAAACATGGGAATGTAATCTATAAAGAAACTGATTTAAATCAACAGAAGAAAGAACATTTTCACTGCTTTGAAAAGTGGAATGACCAAAAAACAGAGAAGATAACTTTTATAATGAGATGTGCTAAAGCTGTAAGTCCAGTTAGAAAGAGATATAGAGAGGACTCTAGGAGAAATAAGCATTAGATTAAAATCTAAATTGTATGAATTTTAAGTTAATTGAAGCCAGATTCTGTGAAATCATTAAAGCTTATGTATGTTTCTTTAGGGTAAATTTTATAGTTAAATTTGTGGTAAATTCCTGAAAAAGCACCATCAATCCTTATTTCTTAATCAAATGGTTTCTGTTTTCATAAAAGAAAGTATGAGAAAATTATTCTATTATTAAAAAATTTTAGATAAACAAAATAAAGGAAAAACAACATTCCAATCTCTCTACTTGCATAATGTCAGCATGCTGATGTGTTAATGTGTTCTCCCATTTTATTATTCTGTATTTATTTTACATTATTATAATCATTTTATAAACATAGTGCATTTTGGATTTAATATATCAAATAGTTTTATTGCTATATTACTACAGGTTTTGTGGTGTTAATGGTTTTTAAGCAATATTTAATAATGTGTCAATCACTTCCTTCTTGCTGTATATTTACACCAAATTGGAAGATTCAAATTACAAATAATACCAAGATTTTTAAAACTAATGCAAGTAGATTCCCCTGTATATTGGATTACATTTGTAGAATGGCTTCCTAGAAGTATTCTTTCTAAGTCACACAGCATGAAGAGTTTAAGGCTCATTGTGTAGAGTACCAAATTGCTTCCAAAAGTGCTGCATTTTTTATTCAGCCTTCAATTTGATTTGAAGTTCAGAAATTCATTAACTACGTTTCTGTTATAGTTTTTGTAAATGCTATTAACACTTGCAATATGAGGTATTCTTCTTTCACTGTCTTTTCAAATATAACACATTCTGTAATCTTTCTGTCCAAATAGGCATATCCAAGAGAAAGTATGGGAATTTACCTATCAGAAAACTAAGTAAAACATAGATGGTTTTTGTAAAGGTGAATAAGGCAGCAGTAACCATATATAGCTCTGATCCTGTACGACGGTTTAGATTCCATGCTTACTGTCAGTACCATAGTTTACTCACTTCCTCAGTCTACTTCCCCATCTTTCCTCCTTCCAAGGGTTTAGGCTTTTTCTTGAGTCTCCTGCCTGGGAGCAATTGTACCCCTGTATCACTAAATCTTTTTGTGCGGTTAAATGATCACAGAAATAACGAACTCTCAGGATGGATTTCTTGATTGATGATGAAAATGATAGCAACATTAATAATAATAAATAATAATCAATGAACAACTGGTGTTTTTACATGCCAGACACTGTACCAAAAACATGTAAATTATCTAATTTTATCTTACCAAAACTCTATATAGTACCACAACCCATTTTAACAGAGGACACTGAAGTTAAAAAGTTATAAGCAGAAAGAACAAAATTCTTTCTGCTTATATATATATATATGTTTATATATATATGCTTATATATATGTATATATATAAAATAAGGAAATTAAACACAGACAGGCTTAAAGAGTAATTTTTAAAAATTACTCATGGTCTATCTTTATTACCTATAGGTGTCAAGTTTAGTAAAAATTTCTTTTTTCAGAGTTATTTTTACTTGGTCTAACGTAGGATTGATCTTAAAAATATATTGTTTTCATTAGTAATATCCTATTGCAAGTCAAAATCTTCTTTCTAGGTTACTTAAATTATACCTTTTTTCCCTCTTCTTACAGCTTCTACTTCCAATTCAGTTACCCTGGCTACTCCAAAGTAGATGATTCCCAGCACCACTTTCACCTTCAACTCACACGGTGTTTTTCTCCTCAGTATAAATATCACTTCCATTTCATCTGTTCTTTTATGGAAACTGAAGTGTCATGTTGTCTTAATGTAAATAGAGAGTATATTTCTTTATTATTATTTTGCTCAGTAATCATCTCCTAACAATTTACAGTTGCTTAGCATATACAAAAACAATATTTAGGGTTTAACATTCAAGAAACAAGAGAAGATTGTACAAAAGGGTGATTGGAAGATTTTTTTCTATCTACTGTTTTAGAATTACATAACTAGTTCAAAATTGTGTCACTGAAGACATATTACACTTCCCAAAGGGCTTAAATTACAGTGTGTGGAAGGTTAAGCACCAAACAATGGCTGTATAAATGAAAAAAATAAAAGTTAAAGTTAATAATAAAGGCATTTGCTTGATGAATCATCAAAATTACTCCAACACTCAAATATTGCCAAATTTCTTAGTCATAGAATTAGGAAGTTTAGGCATTTTAAGAAGATGGTCTCACCTGAGTGATTGGACAGTTATATAGTGACCCTGGAAATAGAGGTATCAGTTTTTAATCTCTCTTTCTCTTTCTCTCCCTTGACATAAAACTAAATAAATATGCAAGGTCCCTCTTTTTTCAGCACTGGAATATGATCACTGCAAAACAGCAATACCTGAAAGAAGAAAAACTCAATAGGTGAAGCCCGTGAACATCTCTGAACTTTGCCTGAGAGCAGTTTCCAAAACACGGCACAGTGAGATGGAGACAAAGCAGAGTGTGATGGTCATGTTCAATGAAGAGGCAAAAATTGGGGGTCTTTTTAACAAACTGTCTTACATCGATTGGATACCCACAGGCAAAATAAACCAACAGCTTCCATTTATACTTTTCACCACATATAAAAAATAATTCGAAGTGGATCACAGGTCAAAATTCAAAACCTAAAACTTCGAAACATCTATGAGAATATAGGGAAAAACAACTGTAGTCTTAAGATTGTAAAGATTCCTTAGATGTGACACTAAAAGCATGCTAGATGATAGAACAAACTGTTAAGTGGGATTTCATCAAATTAATAACATCTGCTCTTCAAAAGACAAAGTTGAAGATGAAAAGATAAGCCCCATACTGAGAGAAAATGTTTGCAAATAGTACATCTGATAAAAGAATTGAGTATAGAGTATATAAAAGCCTTTCAAACTCAATGGAAAATAGGCAACCCAATTTTAAAAATTAGAAAATATTTAAACAGACATTTCACCAAAAAAGATATGTGGCTGGCAAATAAAGACATGAAGAAATGCTCAATATCATTTGTCTTTAGGAAAATTTAAATTAAGACTACAATGAGATACCACTATACAAATATTAGAAAGTTTAAAACTAAAAATACTAAAAAACAGAGTGCTAAAAAGGATGTAGAAGAACTAGAACTTTCATATACTACTGATGAAAATGTAAATGGTACAACAGTTTTGGAAAATAGTGTAGTAGTTTCTTAAATAGTTAAACATTCACCTAACCACACCAACAAAATAATCACTCAATAAAAATTAACTTGAAGATCACATAAATGTTAAGATTAATGAACAAAACCTTTAAAGCAACTACTATAAATAGGTTCGAAGAAATAAAGAAATATATATTTAAACTATTACAGCAAAAATGTATCATAATCAATAAATGAAATATCAGCAAACAAAAAAAGAAACTATAAAAAGTCTCCAAATGAATATGGAATTTTTCCAAAATTAGTTCCACCGTAGTGTTACCAGGGCACTCGAGATTTCAGCATCCCAGCACTTTTAGTGACTTAAATAATAAAAATTTGGATCAGGTCCTTGCTTGCTTGCACTAGCTTTTTGCCCAGTATTCTTTTTTCCCATAACGTAATTATAAACTGCTGATGTATAGTTTGTTTGTCGAGCAGAACGTGATAACTCTGGGTTCACACAAAGGTTTTCCAGAAGGAATGAATGCCTCGAAGGACTTTGTGAACCAGCTGCTGACCTCCAGAAAACTGGTTGCTCAAGGTGTTATCTGAGACTGATGAAATATAGCCTTTTCCTTTGATTCCCTGAAACCACCCCTCCCTTACCCCCTGGCCACATGAAAACTCTCTGCTGCTTCTTTTTGTTAAGGTAGATTTGAGAGATCTTGCCGCCTTGCCTTCTCACTTTGGCCAAATCAAATAAACCTTTCTCTGCCTCCAAACATCTGTTTGTCAGCGTTCAGCATCAGCTGCACATGGGTTCACAAATCTGAATTTGGGCTTCAATAACAGTAGCTTGAAGATGTCAGAAAATCAATACCAGTGAAATCAAAGACATATAAATAGAAATTACCCCTTCTGAAAAATAGAGAGAATAGCATTAAAGAATAACAGAGCCTCAGGAATCTGTGAGAAAACATTAAATGGATTAACTTAAGTATAACAAAAACCAAGAAAGAGAAAGAAAGAAGGAAAGAGAAAGAAAGAAAGAAAGAAAGAAAGAAAGAAAGAAAGAAAGAAAGAAAGTTTAAAAATAAAGAATAAAATAGTCCTAAATTTGGTTTAAATTATCAAATTATAGACTCAAGACCCTCAGTGAAGCCCAGGTAGGGTGAATACAAACAAATAAACAAATAAAACCCTTATTTAGACATATAATTGTGAAACTTCTAAAAAATATAAATAAAACTTTACAAATACCAAAATATAATTTCTAATTATAATGTCCTCACAAAAAGATGTTGAAATAAAGACATAGTTAGATAAATGAAAACTGAAGGTAATTGTCACTAGTAAACCTGCACTACAAGAAGTGTTGAAAGATATTCTTCAGGCTGAAGTAAAATGATACCAAATAAAACCTTGGATCTGAAAGAAAGGATAAAGAGCTTCAGAATTAATCAAACATAGTGGTTTCTTCTTGTGACTTCTTTATAAAAAAATTACTGTCTAAAAAAAAACAGTGTCAGGTGTTTAATATATATTAACTATTAACTTTTTGTTTTCATAATAAAAGAGCAAAGGAGGAGGTTAGGTAAATGGAATTAAACTGTTGTAAGGTAAATCCATTTATGAAAAAGGAAATAAAAAATGTAAAAGATCAAACATAATGTCAGCAAATTTAAATGTTTGCTTTTCAAAAATATCATTAAAGAACATGAAAAGGCATGCCATATAATGGTAGAAAAAATTTCAATACATATCCCTGGAAAGGACTTGACAGGTGAATATCAAAGTAACTCATAACCCAATAATATGAAACAACCTACTATAAAAAAAACTTGAGGAAACTTTACAAAAGAGAATTAGTAAATTGCCAATAAACACAGGAACAGATACTCAATATCATTAGTTATCAGAGAAATTCAAATAAATTGATATAGATTAATAACTAATCTGATCCAGATTAAATACTGCTGCATCCCCAGTAGAATCTCTAAATTTAAGAAGATCAGCATTACAATGGCTGGTGAGGATACAGAGTAACTGAAACTCTAATACATTATGAGTGGAAATGCAGTAGTGTACAGCCACTTTAGAGTTAAATATCCACTTCCCATATACCTCATCAATTTCACTCCTGGGCATTCACCCAAGAGAAATAAAAACATCTTTCCAAAAAAAGACTTATACAAGAATGCTCATAGCAACTTTATTCCTAGTAAAGAATTGGAAACAAACTGTCCATCAACAGGTGGGTGGATAAACAAATTGTGGTAAATTTAAACAATGGAATAGTAGTCAGCAATGAAAATGAACTAATTGCAGATACAGAAAACAATATGATTGAATTTCAGAGATATTATGTTGAGCAAAAGAAGCTAGATGCAAATGACTATACACTGTATGATCAATTTATTTAAACTTCAGAACAAATAAAACTAATCTATAATGACAGAAATCAAATCACTTTTGTGATGTGGAGGGAGGAAGTAGGATTGACTGCAAAGGGAACTTTCTCATGAGATAAAAATGTCCCATTTCTTCATTGGGGTGATGATTACATGATTCTAGACATTTATTAAAATCATAAAAATATAGAATTAATACAAATCAAGAACAGGAATGTATGGCAGTTAAGATCTTCATAGCAAGATGAAAAATTCTTTATTGTTTGACTCCTTTGTGTGTGTGTGTGTGTGTGTAATTATTGAAACTACAAACCCCCTGTAAAACTAAGTTTTCAAAAGAATTTGAAAAGCACTTCTGTGAAAAATATACAGATAAACAACAATGTAATAATGCTTATCTGAGCTACCAAAATCATTTGTTAACAATATTCATGAAGTTTTGATGCCATATAGATTTAGTAAGTATATTAAATCTATACTAAAATGGACATAGTCTCTTCCTTTAAGCATTTAGAGTTCAGTAGTATGTACTTATACGGAGGCTAAAGGCAAATCCATCTTCGATGCAAATCTGCCATGTTGGCTTCTGACTAACTCCAGTTCCAGAAATGCCTCTAAGATTTCTATTTTATCACTGTTTCTTGTGTACTTAACATAAATCCTACCCTTAGGTCAAAACAACCTTGACAATAAATCCTGCCCTTCGGCAGATTCACATACCATTTTTGCTTTTCCTTGAGATGTTGATTTCGGTTATCCTACACATTCCTTCCCTGTGATTTATAAAGCCTGGGTCTGGGGGATAATGGCCCTGGGATCCATCATCTTGTCTCACAGCTGCCCAAAACACAGACATGACTTCTGTTCATAAGTTTCTATTAGATGTTACTTTCTGAAAAATTGGATTTGTCAGCCTCTTTCTTTGGTCTCTCAGTTTCCTTGGACTTTGGGAAGAGGTTTGCATAGACTTGCTTACTGCAGAACAACCTGAAGAATTATAATATAAATAATTACATCAAAATCTCCTCAAGCTTAAATGATAAAACCTCATTCAAATACCATGTCACTTAATTTTTTTAGTTAAAAATTTCAGAAGAGGAAATAACCTGCTATTTAAAAATTATTGAGCATTTTTACCTATATTTTCCTTATTTCCAATATGCTATATATCTGATCGTTTCAGAGAGGTCAAGTGCATTCAAAACTTCCAAAAATGAAAAGTGGTTTTATATCAGATGATATTATTTTAGAATGTGCTCCTTTCAGGAAAACGGGCAAGCCCAAACATGGCCTTTATCCAGCACATTTGATTTCATTTTGGAACAATTTATTTTAAAAAATTTCCATAATTTGCTTAATACATTACAGAAAACATAATTATTTTTTTGTTTCTAAATAGCCTTACATACATATATCAGATAATTTACCAGGATCAGACATAATTCTTAACATCATATTTCAAATGTAGTTATAGCTCCCTCATATTTTTGTGTGCAATTACAAATTCCGACACGCAGGGGAACTTTGAAATAAGTCGTGTGAATATATGGAAGCATAAAAGGAGAGATTTAAATATCACTATGATATGCCAGGAAGGAAATATGACACGACAATGTTAATACAGTCTGAGAGTTCAGACAGCATGCTGAGTGACTTTCCTTTCTTTAAGAGTATCTGTCAACAGACATTCAGAACACTGATCATGCTCTCCACGCAGATTTAAGGCTCAACAAAATTGAAGAATAAATCAGCAGTATACCTTGTGTATGCTTTTTGAAAACAAAACTACCTATGAAAATCAGTTTAGAGTTATTTATAACGTTTTGGCTCTCACTTTTCCCTCAGTAACCTTACTCAGAGGATGACTTTTGACACAGCTTACTGTAATCACACACATGTTAAAATGAGAACACTAGCTCAATAAGCTTAAGGCTTCTTTAGAATCTTAACATTTATAAAACTCTCTGTAAATAGTAACTATAAAATGTATTTTTTTTCTGAATTCTTTTATCTTGGGTGAAATAGTGTAACTACTTCATCTTTTCCTAAAAATAATGGTTTATAGATAGTAATACAAATAATACACATTTACAAAGCTAATTTTGTTTTCTGCAAGCTAATGCCCACTAATGAGAAACTAGGTTTACTGTCATTGTTATCATCCATATGATCTTGTCGGTGATTTTCCTAAAGATTGAGTTTATCAAATTTTTTGGGAAAAAATAATCCCCTTTTACATCTTACCTATCAACATAATGATCTTGTTTTATGTAATCTTGTTGTTTTCAACCATTGTTTTCTTGAAAAGGAGTATTTGAAAATGATTGTATATTAATATGTAAAATATAAGATTTTCCTATCAAAAAATTAAAAACATATGCATCACTTCATAGTGTTAGTTATTTGGAATTGAGAGGTGGATGAGGAGAGGACTGAGAAAGGCAGGTTGTTGAAGTGAGCTTCCAGTAATTTCACATCAGGGCCAGTGTTACAAACTATATCGCAAAAGTCTGGATAGATTATCTAATTTTTTTTTTGAGATGGAGTTTTGCTCTTGTTGCCCAGGCTGGAGTGCACTGGCGCAATCTCGGCTCACTGCAACCTCTGCCTCCTGGGTTCAAGCGATTCTCCTGCCTCAGCCTCCCGAGTAGCTGGGATTACAGGTGTGCGCCACCACACCTGGCTAATTTTTGTACTTTTAGTAGAGACGGGGTTTCACCATGTTGGCCAGGCTAGTCTCAAAACTCCTGACCTCAGGTGATATGCCCGCCTCGGTCTCCCAAAGTGCTTTGATTACAGGTGTGAGCCCCCGCACCCGGCCAGATTATCTAAAATTTTCAAATGTGTAAGGCAAGGAGAAAAAATAATTTTATCGTTAAATTAACAAGGCAAAAAATCAAGCTACTGTCTGCTAAATACCAAGTATAAAATAATTTTAAAGTCAAATCTATCTACTACTATGATAAGGTCAATTACATAGTTATATACACACAAATATATTAAATGTTAAAATAAAAGTTAAATTTCTAACGTATCATCATCTCTTTCCTAATTTTTTCCTAGTCTGACTGTACCAGTGTGTACCATTATGATTGCCTTTGGTGTGCTCAAAATAGCATTACTAAGTTAATAGTTTAAGAATTTTCATGCAGAGAAATACCTGAAATTAAATGCCAATACTTAATGTCATCTATTTTCTTTTCTTTTTTTTTTTCTTTTATTTTTTGAGACAGAGTTTTGGTCTTGTTGTCCAGGCTGGAGTGCAATGGCACGATCTCGGCTCACCACCACCTCTGAGTCCCAGTTTCAAGTGATTCTCCTGCCTCAGCCTCCTGAGTAGCTGGGATTACAGGCATGCACCACCACGCCCAGCTAATTTTGTATTTTTAGTAGAGCCAGGATTTCTCCATGTTGGTCTGGCTGTTCTCGAACTCCTGACCTCAGGTGATCCACGCGCCTTGGCCTCCCAAAGTGCTGGGATTACAAGCATGAGCCACTGCACCCAGCCAATGTCATCTATTTTCAATTCTCCATCTAGATTTTAGACTTGAAAAAAAAAAAAAAAAGCCAAAGGAATATATGGGAAAGTGATCTGGTCTGAAAATTCAGGAAGCTAGACCAACTCCTAGAAAGGTGGTCTAGCTTCCTGAATTTCCAGTCCAGATCACTTTCCCTGTATATTTGATATTAATCAACAGAAAAATGAGGAAGGAGGCAATGATGTCTTAGAAATCATGCAGACAATGTGACTTTGACTAAGCCCCAGGTGTTTTTCTTCTCTTCAGTCAATTAGAATAACAAGAGACACTAAGATTTTATAAAACAGTGCATTTTCATGTGTTATAAAATCAATCGTTAATTGTATTAGTTCGTTTTCACACTGCTGATAAAGACACACCCGAAACTGGGTAATTTACAAGAAAAGAGGTTTAATTGACTCACAGTTCCACATGGCTGTAGAGCCCTCACAATTATGGTGGAAGGTGAATGAGGAGCAAAGTCATGTCTCACATGGTGGCAGGCAAGACAGCATGACAGCCAAGTGAAAGGAGAAACCCCTTATAAAACCATTAGATCTGGTGACACTTATTCACTACCATGAGAACAGTATGGGGAAAACTGCCCCCATGATTCAATTATCTTCCACCAGGTGCCTCCCACAACACAGCGTAATTATGAGAGCCACAGTTCAAGAAGAGATTTAGACAAGGACACAGCCAAACCATATCATTACACCCTGGCCCCTCCCAAATCTCATGTCCTCACATTTCAAAACCAATCATGTCTTCCCAACATTCCCCCAAAGTCTTAACTCATTTCAGCATTAATTAAAAAATCCACAGTCCAAAAGCTCATCTGAGACAAGTCAAGTCCCTTCTGCCTATGAGTCTTTAAAGTCAAAAGCACATTAGTTACTTCCTAGATACAATGGAACTATAGGCATTGGATAAACACACCCATTTTAAATGGGAGAAATTGGTCAAAACAAAGGAGCTAAAGGCCCCATGCAAGTTCAAAATCCAACAGGCCAGTCGAACATTAAAGCTTTGAAATGATCTCCTTTAATTCCATGTCTCACATCCAGGTCACTCTGATGCAAGAGGTGGGTTTCCATAGTCTTGGGCAGCTCCACCCCTATGGCTTTGCAGGGTACAGCCCTCCTCCTGGCTGCTTTCATGGGTTGGTGTTGTGTCTGTGGCTCTTGCAGGCACGCAGTGAAAGGTGTTGGTAGATTTACCATTCTGGTGTGTGGAGGACGGTGGCCCTTTTCTTACAGCTCCACTAGGTAGTGCCTCACTGGGGACACTGTGGGGTCTCGCACCCCACATTTCCCTTCATGCTGCACTAGCGGAGGTTCTCCGTGAAGGTCCTGTCCCTCCAGCACATCTCTGCTTGGACATCCAGGCATTTCCATAAATTCTCTAAAACTAGGCAGAGGTTCCCAAACCTCAATTCTTGACTTCTGTGCAAGTGAAGGCCTAACTCCATGTGTAAGCCACCAAGACTTTGGGCTTGCATCCTCTGAAGCAATGGCCTGAGCTCCATGTTGGCCTCTTTTAGGCACAGGTGGGATGCAGGGCACCAAGTCCCAAGACTGCACAAAGCAGCAAGGCCCTGAGCCCAGCCCATGAAACCATTTTTTCCTCCTAGGCCTCCTGGCTTGTGATTGGAGGGGCTGCCATGAAGACCTCTGACATGCCCTAGAGACATTTTTCCTATTGTCTTGGCGATTAACATTTGGCTCCTCATTACTTTTGCAAATTTCTGCAGCCAGCTTGAATTTCTCCCCAGAAAATGGGTTTTTCTCTTCTATTGCGTCAACAGGCTGCAAATTTTCTGATCTTTTATGCTCTGCTTCCCTTTTAAACATAAGTTCCTATTTCAAACCATATCTCTGTGAATACATAAAACTGAATGCTTTTAATAGTACCCAGGTCACTTCTTGAACGCTTTGCTGCTTAGAAATTTCTTCTGCCAGATGCCCTAAATCATTTCTCTCAAGTAAAAAGTTCCACAAATCTTAGGGCAGAGGCAAAATGACACTAGTCTCTTTGATAAAACATAGCAAGAGTCACCTTTGCTCCAGATCCCAACAAGTTACTCATCTCCATCTGAGACCATCTCAGCCTGGACTTCATTGTCCATATCACTATCAGCAGTTTCGTCAAAGACATTTAACAAGTTTCCAGGAGTTCCAAACTTTCCCACATTTTCCTGTGTTTCTCTGAGCCCTCCAAACTGTTCCAACTTCTGCCTGTTACACAGTTCCAAAGTCACTGCCATATTTTTGGGTATCTTTACAGCAGTGCCCCACTCCCACTACCAATTTACTGTATTAGTCTGTTTTTACACTGCTGATAAAGACATATCTGAGAATGGGTAACTTATAAAGGAAAGAGGTTTAATTGACTCACAGTTCCACATGACTAGGGAGGCCTTGCAATTATGGCAGAAGGTGAATAAGGAGCAAAGTCACATTTTACATGGCAGCAGTCAGGAAAGCATGAGAACCAAGTGAAAGAGGAAACCCCTTCTAAAACCATCAGATCTCATGAGACTTATTCACTACTGTGAGAACAGTATGGGAGAAACCACCCCCATGATTCAATTGTCTCTCACTGTGTCCCTCCCACAACATGTGTGAATTATGGGAGCTACAATTCAAGATGGGATTTGGGTGGGGACACAGCCAAGCCACATCATTAATTAAAGTATGCCCACATTTAGACCATCTCAGAAAGATTCTGGCTACCATGCATGTAGACAGTTGGTCCTTTACTCTGATAACAGGATAAAAGTGAACTTCAAGCTGACAAACTAAGCCAACTATCCAGATATTTTGGCAAAAATTAGATTACTGTTGAGTTTTGTATTTTTTTGTTTTATTTTGTTTTTGTGTTACTGTTGTGACTCACAGCTATAAAATAGAGAGTAGATAGCCTAGCTACTTTTATTTAAGAAGATGTGGAGTTGGGCACCTAAAACACTATGCATTAAGGGTACCCTTAGAAACATTTGATGCTTAAAGAGAGCAATAAATAATTACAGTAATGAAAGTGAAATAAATAGGCTAATGAAGACAAACATGGAACTTTTAAATTATTTTAGAAAATGTTTTTAATTTGTTTGAATTCAACCTAAAAAAATATAAATTCTGTGTAGATCATTGAAATATAGGCACTGTTATACAGTTATCTTTCATATGTTTGCCTGAAATATGTTTATTTTGTTGTATTTGCCCCTTGAAGAGTGTTTTAATGCCAATGCAAATTGTTTTCACATTAACCCAGTGGAATTCACCTTCAAATCCCAGTGCTTTCTAGGAGAGCACTGATAAATGAAAATCAATTCTATTCCACTTTATAAAGTGGTATTCTTTTGTTACTCACATTTCTTATTAAGTACAACATACAAGCTGCAGGGCAATGAAAATTATCCTTTTGCTTCTTCTGCACAGTGGAAACATTCTTAGATTGACTAGATTGAACATTTTGTTTTCTGATTTTATGTTCAAATTCTTCATCTCTGATATATACCTGCTCATCAAATTTTGAGGATTTCCTTTGCGTTGAAATCTTATTTATTGATGTTTTCTTCTTCGCTAATTAACATAAACCCTCAGAGCTCTCTAAGCTCAAATATACGTTACAGTGAACTAAAAATTTCCCACTGTTTACTTTAGAAATAGGCATTTTAAGTGTCAAATGAAAATACGACCTATTATTCTAAAATAGATATTTTAGAGAGAATCTAGACAACCATCAAAAATTCTCCCACAGAGGCGGAAATGAGACAAATTAAACCTTCATTGAGATGAAACCCAGGAGACTTAGCCTGTCTACAGAAGCCAAATAGAGGCATAAGAGATTTATGAGGAAAACTGTTATATTAATGTGAGTGAAATGCTTTGGGGGCTGTCTTTTTGATCTGGTTTTAATCATTCCAAATCCATACCTGGATTTCTTTTCTACAAATGTAACAAACGTATGTCCCTGTTTGATCATAATTCTGTAGAAAGTCAGACTTGACATCCCTGTTTCTCAAGCTTCTTGGTGTTAGGGGAATTAAAATGTTAAACACTTGCAAGGTTTGAGATGAGGTAAACCCCCAGCTCTCTTGCTGCATTCTTTTTCTTAGCAAGGGAAAAAGAAGTCACTGGTAGTTATGTCATATCTTGTGAACATTTCTCTACTGTTCTCTCTAGTCTGTTTGTTTTATTTGTCAGTGTTTTCCTGTTGTCCTTGAATTTGTTGCTATAGCCATCTGTAAAGATTTATTTGCACAAGATTGAGAGCTTAAGGGAACACATATTATGAATTCAACTACAGGACTAACTTCAGTGCAAGAAGAGGCAAGAAAACCTACTTAAGCCCGTATTTAAGGAATTTTATGAAGTTACTTTTGCTGGATGTAAGGGTTAGGCTGAAATGCCATGAAGAAAGTATTATATGACAGTGGGATTTTATGCAAAGATCCAAGAATATTTAAATTCTGACCCAACCAGTCCTCCTATCCTACCTGCCGGGCAAAAAAGAAATCTGTGTTTGTTTGTGATTGTGTGTGTATATATATGTATATACACATACATACACACATTTCTTTATATATATTCTATATATACACATAGAATATACACCTATATTAACATATATACACACACATACATATTTACACACACATATTCATACATTCAAGCACATACACACATACATATATACATACATATATAGTTTATATGTGTACACATACATATATTTTATATATATATTACACACATACATATATATGCATAGAAAATAATTGAAAACAGAGTCAAGTAAACCTTTACATTAATTGGTGATTTGGTCACAAGGCCCAATATAGAACTCCTATACAGTGTTTTTTTTATTTTCTCTATAAACGTTCAAACAAAAGACAGCAAATACTTCCTTTAATGTCCGGACTAAAATTTTGAATTGTACCAATCCAGTCATTAAAGGAGTCAATTCAAAGCACAACAAAACAGTCAACATATATGGGCACATGTACAAGAATGCAGGCAGTGTTATTCACATGCATGCTTAAGAAAGAAAGAAAATCTTTTCTTAATATCTGTTGGAGATCAACTAAACTCACTCAGTCTTCTCAAGCTAGAATGATAGGCCTGGGCTTAGATATTATATGAGACAGAAAAGGAAAATCAAAACAGAGAGATACATGTCTGTCTCCTTAATCTTTTGGAACACTCTTACTTGTACTTAACTATAATTGTTGCAGTAGGAGACAGAGATTTTGCTTTGCATCTAGCTTTAAACAGAGCTTTAAGTCCTCCTCGTAAAATGGTTTTGGCTCTATGAAAATTTATAACCTGATGTGGTCTGAATGTCTCCCAAAATCCATATGTTGAAACTTAATCACCAATGTGACAGTATTAAGAAGTTGGGCCTTTAGGAGGTGATTAACTTATTAAGGTGGAGCAAAGCCCTCATGGAAGGGATTGGGGCCTTTATAAAAGGCTGAAGGAAATGAGTTCATTCCCTTTTGCTCTTCCACCTCCACCATGTGAGAACACAGCATTTATCTCCTCTGAAGCATGCAGCAATATGGTTGAGAGTGTAGCTCTCACCCAACACTAAACCTGCCAGTGCCTTAATCTTGGACTTCCCAGCCTTCAGAACTGTGAGAAATAAAATTTTTTCTATAAATATTACACAATCTCAGGTATTTTGTTACAGCAGCACAAAAGAGTAAGACATATTTCAATAGACAAATGCGGAATTTGCTTTTTAGTGTTATCTGTGTAAGCAGAGTGGACGGAAATATCAAGTGTTTTCTGAGACCCTGGGCCAGATCTATTGTATTGGTAAAGCAAAATTCAGTGAACTGGGCTTCTCTGGCCAATTGAAGATCTATAAAAGGGTAAAAATAATAAGGTGTAGGGCTATGTCACTTGGATGTGACGGTCAGTGTGAAAGTTTTTTCTGCCTTCCACCATATCTCTCCTTTCCTCCCTCCCTCCCTACTTTCCTTCCTCCCTTCCTTCTCTTGTAGTATTACTATACCCTCTCCCATAGAAAGGGAAAGAATGAATTGCGGGCCTGCTACTACTTATTGCCTTTCCAATCAATAACTCTCACATTGTGATAATCACAATTGTGAAATCAGTGAATCTTATGTGAAACAATTTGTGAATGGATAATTCTATAGTCAGAAGAAATGACTTTTCTCAATTCTCATAGCTTCCTCAGACAAAGATTAGGTAAGCTTAGGATTTTTATTGTTTGTACATTACTAAATTTAAATATGTATTGAGCACCTACTTGGGGTCTGACACATTTGAAGATTTCTTTTTTATTTCTTGACCTTCTTTTTTTTTTTTTTGAGACAGGGTCTTGCTCTATCACCCAAGCTGGAGTGCAGTGGCAGAATCTCAGCTCACTGCAACCTTGCCTCCCAGGTTCAAATGACCCTCCTGCCTTGCCCTCCCAAATGGCTAGGACTACAGGCATGAACGACAAACCCTGGCTATTTTTTTCAGTTTTTTTCAGAGATGGAGCTTTGCCATGTTGCCTAGGCTGGTCTCAAACTCCTCCGCTCAATCTGCCTTCTTTGGCCTCCCATAGTGCTGGGATTACAGGTGTGAGCCACCATTCCTGACCTAAAGATTTCCTCCTTTTGATATACATGAAATTATGAATGAAATGGAAATTACGAGATTCAAAGAGTTAGGGATAGATCAATCACAATGCTAGTGCCAGAAATTTTCTTGCTGCATGTTACAAATACGAATTCATTTAATTTTTACACACATGTGCCCACATACATGAGTGTATATGAACACACGAATGAGACTGGTTCTATTATTTATTCCACTTTGTAGAGCAATAAATGAGAGTGTAGAATCCATAAATATCTCACCCAATGTCACACGACTAGTAAGTGATGGAGCTGTAATTTGAGCAGTCTGTCTTTACTGTCTCTGCGCTTAATTATTATGCTGCACTTAACTGATATTCATGCATTAAGGTCAGCTATATGTAAGAAGTTTTACCTAATTGGAAGAGGTTAATAACACAATTTTTAATAAGAAGAATAGATGAGTAAACAAGAGAGGGACCGAGATAAACAGAGAAATTCAAGTACTTAAATCCCTTTTATATGATAATTTCTGTTTGTGGCTGGCCCACCTGACTAGGTATTATACACTGTTCTACTCATGTAGAACCAAAAGCCCAGACAGGTTTAGATTTGAAAGTTTAGTCAAGACTTGACATCTTTTCAACCCCAGTGCTTCCATATTAAATTCCTTTGAAATGAAAACAGTTTAGACATTAGGCCTACAAAAGATAAGAACAATCTTGCAAAGAGAATTTAAATGAAAAAAAGTCTTAGGAGATTGCTGTTTCTTGACAGTGAAACCATCATCTTTCATTCAGTCTAACTAGATAGCATCTTTTTTAGTGATGACACAATAACAGTTTATCTTTTCTCCGAAATCTGCAGGAATAAAGTTAGGCATTTTATTTTTATTTTTTTTGCAGAAGCCCTGGCTCACAATGTTCATTTCCTCTTGATTAAAAAAAAAAAAAAGATAAAAGAACAAAAGTTTGTTTATATCTTCTCAATTTGTAACAAGACTTAACTTTTTACCTCAACTTATCCTAACAAGTAACCTAAAGCAATTTCCCAAGCTTTGTGTGTATTTTAGATTTTATTGGTGCAAAGTAACTGTTGAATCCCCAAATCAAGTCTCCCTTGATCTGTGGATAAGAGAGGTATTTTAGATTAAAAAAAATCAACTTATAGAATTATTTTAGCTATAATTTTAAAGAGGTCCCTTTGAACTCAGACGAGACTAGCATTTGTTATGATTTGGGACGTGTCTGATGATTCACAAAAGATGTCTGGTCTGCCTTCTAGAGTAGTAGCTATTGAAAATTATCCAATTAAAATGGGAGTTGGGGAAGTGAAACTCTTGGGTTATACACAACACCTAGTATTCTAAATAAATGATTTATTTCTCCAGAAAAGACTATAGTATGAATAAAAATCCAGCTTTATTAAAACATTATGCGTTATTTCTTAATAATTTTTATTTATTATTTATTAATTAGTTTACTTAGTGCATGTGCTGCTGAATTTGAGTGGCTGTGTATTATAGTAATATTTTAGAGAACAAAGAATAAACTGTGATTAAGGCAAAGTGCACATTTTCAATTTTTGTTTACCCCAGGCTGTCACTTAAAATAAAATGTTATCAATATTTGATTATTCCTTCCTTTCTAACACATCATAAAGTTGTGTATCTCTATGCCTCTGCTCATGTTCCTCCAACAAGGATTACAATAGCAGACACATCTGGAACTAACCAAATCCCCTTTACCTGGCTGGGGTGCAGTCATCCCCAGCTGCTGCTAGGCCTGAAACTAATGGCTTACATCTGAGGCTTTCTCCAAAGAATTGTCTTGGCTATTCCGAGATGCCAGGAGAGTTTATTCTCAAAAGTTCTCAGTGTATGTGCCAAGACTAGACTTTACCGGAGACCCCATGCTTCAGGAGCTCCTTTCCCTTCTGTATTCTGCTCCCCTGTCTTACAGGGTTTCCTGGGGAGCTCTTCATTAATAAATCATATGTACTTGAATCTTTGCCTTAAGCTATGCTTCCAGAGAACCTGATCTAAGACAATTACCATTCCCGTCCTTTTCCACTGTATAATTTGCTATTATTCTGCAAAGTCTTTAAAGTTTTTTCTGTATATTTCCTCCACCCTAATATCCCTAGCAAAACTAATGTTTTCCCTCTGGTTTTTTTTGTTTTGTTTTGTTTTTGTTTTTGTTTTTTTTTTTTGAGTCTCTCTGTCGCCCAGGCTGGAGTGCAGTGGCGCGATCTCGGCTCACTGCAACCTCCACCTCCCTGGTTCACGCCATTCTCCTGCCTCAACCTCCCGAGTAACTGGGACTACAGGCGCCTGCCACCACGCCTGGCTAATTTTTTGTATTTTCAGTAGAGACGGGGTTTCACCGTGTTAACTAGGATGGTCTCGATCTCCTGACCTCGTGATCCGCCTGCCTGGGCCTCCCAAAGTGCTGGGATTACAGGCATGAGCCACCGTGCCCGGCCTTCGCTCTGTTTCTTAATGGAACATATGACACTTATATTAAGCACTTTTATTATATATTTATCCAAAATTATTTATTACATACCTACTACATGCCACATACTATTTTAGATATGTCATTAAGACATGCAAGGTCCTGCTCTCTTGAGTTTACATTCTAGTGAAGGGAGACATAATAAATATAAGCAAATTAGTGTGGAAGATACATTTAGACAAGAATAAATGCAATAATGCAAACCAAGGAAGTACAATAAAAAGTGGAAAGTTACTTAGAATGAATTTTCACAGAAATGCTGTATGAAGGACTAAAATAATACATTATTCTAACGTAAAGCTAAGAGCTTCTCAAGATCATAATGTATGTGTGTTTTGCACAAGGAAAGGCATAACACCTTAAAAAATGCTTGACTTGAACTACAACACACTATTGTTCTTGGATGGATTTCCTCAAAATAGTGTTCTGATTCTTTTTGTTCGAAACTTTGTTATTTGGTTCAATGATGCTCTAACAATGGTACATTGAGACTTTCTCTTCAAAAGGGTATCTAATTAAGAACCCACAAATTATCCTTATTGAATTTTCAATGAAATATTCATAAAGACTGAGAAGAAGAAGCAAAGATTACAACTTGGTAAGGCAAGTCTTCCAGGTAAGAAATTAGCAAATTCTGATATATTTTATTTTAAAAAAAAGTTCACAGAATTGAATACAGAAATATTGGGGGAAATACATGCATATTTTAATTTAAAAAGGAGTGCAGTCCTACCAATAAGTAGGAAGACTTTCCAGTTTGTGGTATTGCTTGCCAATAAGTAGGGAGACTTTCCAGTTCATGGTATTGCTTGCCATGGCTCAGAGATCTAAGGTTTGTACCAATCGGAAATGGGAGTTTCTGTCCCACCAATAGATAGGTTTGTTTAATGGAGAGAGTCAATTACACTGCTCTTATCAACCCACATCAGACTTGTAAAATTCTCATTCACATTTTTGAAAGAAAGCCAAATTAAAAGTAAATATTAAAAATTTAGCTTTCTTAAAGCCAATAATAACCCTTTAAAAGATAATTTAAATAAGAAATGCATATGCAGCAATGACATAAACATAAAAAAGAGAAAGGAATAAACCTAACAGCAAAAATTAGGGTACCTAGTCTTTAAAGTTTACAAAAAATATAATGTTAGATAAATACATATACTGAGTTTCTAGATCAGAAAATGGACTACCATTATGTGTCGCTTAATGACAGGAATTCGTTCTAAGAAATTTTGTCTAGTGCAAACATTATAAAGTGTACTTACATGAGTCTAGATGGTGTAACCTACTACACACATAGGCTATATGGTATAGCCTATTGCTCCTAGGCTGTAATCTCTACAGCATGCTACTATATTAAATACTATAGACAATTGTAATGCAATGGTATTTATATATCTAAACACAGAAAAGATAGGTAAAATATGGTATAAAAGGTTAAAAAATGGTATATCTGCATAGGGCACTTAACATAAATGGAGCTTGCAGAACTGGAAGTTGTTCTGGTTGAGTCAGTGAATGAGTGGTGAGAGAATGTGAAGGCCTAGGACATTACTATACACTATTGTAGGCTTTATAAACACTGTATACTTTGGCTACATTAAATTTATTTTTAATTTCTTTCTTCAATTAAAAATATTAAAGCATTTTATTTTTTATATTCTTATTGTAAAAACTTTTTTCTACTTTTTTTTTTTTTTTTTTTTACTTTTTAAACTTTTGGTTAAAAACTTAGACACAAACAAAGAAAATTAGCCTAGACCTACACTGGGTCAAGACCATCAATATCATTGTCTTCTGCCTCCATATTTTGTTCCCCCAGAAGGTCTTCAGGGGCAATAACACACATGGAGCTGTCATCTTGTATGACAATAATGCCCTCTTCTAGAATGCCTCCTGAAGAACCTGCATGAGGCTGTTTTTTATAAGGAGGACCACACTCTAAAATAACGATAAAAAGTATAGGATAATAAATATACAAACTAGTAACACAGTAGTTTGTAACCATTGTGAAGTATTAGGTACTTTACATAATTGTACATGGTATACTTTTATAAGACTGGCAGCAAAGTAGGACTGTTTACACCAGCATCACCACAAACATATGTGCAACATGTTGCATTATTATGATAGCTGCAACAGTCACTAAGTGATAGGAATTTTTCAGCTCCACTACAGTCTTACAGGGTCACTATAGTATATGAGGTCTGTCATCGACCAATACGTTCTGAATGTGGCATATGACTGTGCTTTAAAGATGTCTCTTTCCCTAAATTTGCTTACAATTTAAGGTAATGTCACTGTCTTTCAAAAAGGAAACAAAATAGAGTTTCTTGTAAACAAAAGTTAAAAAAAAAAATCAACAATCCTGAACTAAAAAAAAAAAAAAAATTCTTCAGGCAGAAGGAAAATGATGCCAGAAGGAAAATTGCCTTTGCACAAGAAATGAGGAGTGCTAAGAATGGTAAATATATAGACAGATATAAAAGACATTGTTATTTAAAATATCTTTAATCGGTAATCAGTTGTTTAACACAAATATAATAGCCATATATTTTGGAGTTTCTGACTTTTGCAGAAACAGTGTTATGACCACACTATCTACAGAATGGTGAGGAAAATTTAAGTACACTCTGGTAAGGTACTTGTATTATATATGAAGTATTATAATATTATTTGAAAGTAGGCTGTGAAAAGTTAAAGATACTTATTGAAAGAGTGGAAACAACTACTAGCCCAATAAAACAGAGGTATAGCTCTTAAGTCAAAGTAGGAGATGAAGAAAATAAGAGGAAAAAGAAACAAATAACAGGTGGCACAAACAGAAACAAATTTTAAGGTACATTAAAAACCCACATTATCAAAAATTATATCTAGGCACTGAAACTAAAAAAGGCATGAATTGTTGGATTGGATTAAAAAGCAAGGACTAATTATATGGTGACTGTAAGAAATTCATTTTAAATATGAAGACACAAGTTAAAAGTAAGAAGATTTAAAAAGAAATTCGATGAAAAACAAAAATTGAAAGAAAGCTGGAGTTGCTTTATTAACATTAGACAAAGTACATCATAGAACAAAGTACATATTACCAGTGACAAAGAAGGAAATTTCATAAAGATTTCATAAAAAGTTTCATCAGAAGGGCATAACAATCCTGAATGTGTAGGGACCCAGTAACAGAACTTCAAAATATATGGAGTAAAATTTTATAAGAGGAGAAATAGACATATCTATGATTATCACTGGAGATTTTAGCACTTCTCTTTCAGTAATTAAACAAGCAGCCAGAAAATCACCAAGAATATCGAAGGCTTGAACAATACTGTTAACCAACTTGCACATGCTTATATTTAGAGAATAGTGCACTCAAAAACCACATTAAACATGCCTTCTTTTTAGGTTAACATGGAACATTTACTAAGGCCACATTCTGACCCGCAAAGCAAATATTAACTGGAATGGAGTGAACTTATGCAAAATAATGTTCTCTGACCAAATGAAAGTATACCAGACATAAATAAGGTGAAATCTGGAAAGTCCCCAGATATTTGAAAACAAATCAACACATTCCAAAATCCATAAGTATAATCCATAAATTAAAGAAGAAATTACAAGCAAAACTAAGAAATTCTGAATTAAATGAAAATCAAAATGAAATATATCAGTATTTGTTGAATGGAGCTGAGCAGTACTTAGAGGAAAAATTATAATTGTAAACACTCATATTAGAAAATAAGAAAGTTCTCATATTAATGATTTTATCTTCTATCTTAAGAAACCAGAAAAAGAAATTAAACACAAAGTAAGGAGACAAAAAGAAATTCTAATAATAAAATCCAAAAGAATAAAATAAAAACAGAAATAATAGAGAAAAACAATGCAACCATAAGCTGGTTCTTTGCAAAGATAATTGAAATATATAAAGTGTAGTCATAGTAACCAGAACAAGCAGGAGACATGAATCACAGATCCTACAAGCATCACCACAAATCCTACAAGCATCTAAAGACTAATAAATAATATTATAAACAATATATGCCAATAAATTGACAATGAAGATAAAATATGCAAATCATCTGCAAGATAAAAACTGTTAAAGCTTACATAAGAAAAAAACAAACTAAACAGTTTTTTATGTATTAGGTAAATTGAATCTAGGTGTTTAAAATCTCCCCTCCAGTGAAAACTCCAGGCTGAGATGAATGCAACCAAACACTTATGGAAGAAATCACAGTACTTTCACACAAATTCTTCAGCAAATGGTCTTTCAATCTTATTGTAATAAGGTCAGACATACCCTGATACAAAATCCAGGCTTTACAAGGAAAAAAAATTAGAGACCAAAATGCTTCATTAATTGAATGCAATGTCTTTAACACATTTTTGAAAATAGAATCCGGCAATACACACAAAGAATAAGGATCTTACCAAGTGTAATTATATATATATGTGTAATCATCCCAAAAGATGCAAAAATAAATTTGGCAAGACTCACACCTTTCCATAATTAAATGGCAAGGAGACTATCATCAAACTAGAAATTGAAGGGAACTCTCAACCTAATCAAAGGCATGTATAAAAACCTATAGCTGACTTCATAATCAACAGTGAAAAATAGAATACTATCCCTTTACAATAAAAACATTATAAGATGTCTACTCATACCACTTTTATTCTATGTTGAAATAAAAGACCTAGTCAATGCAATAAGACAAGTAAAGCATACAAATCAAAGAGGAGGAAGTAAACTGTTTTAATCACAGATGACATGATTGTTTATGAGGAAAATCCTAACATACAGAAAAGTCACAAGAATGAATAAACAAATTTAGCAATGTCACAACTTATGATGTCAATATACAAAATTTGACTGTGTTTCTGTATCTGAATTATGACTAAATGAAAATTGAAATTGAAAACAAATATTACTTACAATAGTAAGTAAAAATATGAAATATTTAGGAATGAATTAACAATATATGTAAGATCTATAAATGAAAACAATAGAACATTGAAAACTAATAAAGACAAAATTTTAAAACAGAGAGATATAACATGTTCATTAATCAGAAGACGCAGTATTGTTAAGACAGAAACTCTTCCCAAACAGAACTATAGATTCAATGTAATCCCTATCAAAGTCCTGACAGGCTTAATTTTTGAAGAACTTGAAAATCTCTTGTTTAAATGTATATGCAAATGAGAGGAATTAGAATAGTAAAAATAACTTTGAAAAAGCAGAACAAATTTGAAGGGTATACATATCTGACTGAAAGAGATACTATAAATGTTTGGTAATCAAGAGAATATGGTATCAGTGTAAGGGTAGATGTACATATTAATGGAGATAATACAGAGTTCAGATATAGAAACAAGTATATTTGGTCAATTGATTTTCAACTAAGGAACCAAACTAATTGAATGGGAAAAGGACTTTTTTTTAAATAAGTGATTCTATTACAATTAGATATCCATATACAAAAGAAAATAAACCTTGACCCATGTCTTATTTAGTATAAAAATCAATTTATAGGAGACAATAGATTTAATATATTAATAAAACTTTTAAACTTCTTGTAGAAAACAAAAGAGAAAATATTGAGTTCTTGGGTTAAGCTAGCTTTCTTACATTCAACATAAAAATCACAAACCACAAATAAAAAATGGATAAGTTGTATTGCACCAAAATTAAAAACATTTCTTCTTCAAAAGACAACACTAAATAATGAAAAAGCATAGCATACACTGGAAGAAAATATTTGTAAAATGTGTAACTGATAAAGGACTTGGATTGAGAGTACATTTTAAAAGCACTTATAACTCAATACTAAAAAAACTGTTTTAACAAGTGAGGAAAAGATTTGCACAGATACTTCAGGAGTAAAGTGATGATAATTACAACAAGATGAATATAAAAACATTATGCTAAGTAGAAGACTATAGTCAGAAAAGATCACATATTATATGATTCTATTTATATGACAAGTTCAGAATAGGTGACTCTATAGAGACACAAAGTGGATTAGTGGTGGTCTGGCCTTTTGGGGATAATAAAAATGTTCTAAAATTAGATTATGGTAATAATTGTACAACTTTGTAAATATTATCAAACCCAGGGAATTGCATACTTTCAAGAGGTAGCTTTTATGGCACGTAAATTAGATCTAAACATGTGCTAATTAAATATTCTATGAATGGCAAGTAAGAATGCAAAAATATGTTCAGCATTATTGATAATTAAGAAAATAAAATCAATGCCACAATGAGAAACCACTACACATCTGAAATGCTAAAATTTAAAATTTGGCCAATATCGAAAGTGAGAGAAACTTTCATATATTGCTAATTAGAATATAAAATGGTACCTCCTCTTGGTAGACAGTTTGGCAGTTTCTTACAAAGTTAAATATATACTTTCCATGTGACCAAGAAATCTCACTCCTAGACATTAATCCAATACAAATTTTTGAAGCGGAGTCAGGCTTCTAGGGTGATACCTGAGGTTCATTGCCACATGCCAAGGAAATCAAGGACGGGAACACACAGGATTGAGGTTAAGAGTGAAGGTTTAATAGGTGAAAGAAAAAGAAAAGTTCTCTCTCTTGCAGGGAGAGAGGGGCCCTGGAGCAGCTCTTCTGGTTCTGTGGTGATATGCTCGGGGTTTTACAGACTAGCTTGAGGAGGTGGTGTCTGATTTACATAGGCCCCAAAAGATTGGTTGGACCAGGTGTGCATTTACATAGTGTGCGAAGAAGCTGGCCGCCCCACCGTAATCTTTTATTATGCAGATGGATTCTCTACCTGGCCTTTGGGTGACAAGTTGCCTATTCCCTTACTGCACATGTGGTGAAAAAGAAAAGGGAAGATGGATCTTCCATGATGGCTCCCAGGTAGCCTATCCTTTCCTATTAGCACAGCTGCCGGCATTTACCTTTGCTAGCTTCCAGCTTGCTTATCTATGTTTGCAGCTCTATTTTTCAGGCTACTCTTGTTAGAAAATAAGCGATTTAGGGGCTGCTTTTTGTTAAAAGTGAAACCTCAAGAGTGGCCCTCACTATCTGCCTCAATAATTTCGTTCTAGGTCGTGTATCACTACACACACACACACACACACACACGGACATAAATGTTCAAAGCGGCTTGTCAACAATAGCCAAAAATGGGAAAAAACTCAAATATCCACCAATTTTTGAACAGATGAATAAATTGAGGTATATTTTTATAATGAGATACTACTCAACAATAAAAAGAAATAAGTGATACACACAACAACATAGGTAAGTGTCCAAAGCATAATGCTAAGTAAAACAAGCCAGATATAAAGAACTACATACTGTATAATTTCATTTATAAGAAATTCTAGAAAATGAAAACACTGTAAAGAGAAATAGCATATCAATGGTTGCCAGAGATGATAGGTTAGAAGAGATGATTTAGTGCAAAAGAACATAAGCTAAATTTTTGAGGTAGCAGAAATATTCTACGTATGATATTTGGCTATATGTATTTTTCAGTATGTATATGTATATTCTAAAACTCATCAAGTTCCACATTTAAATTTGGTAAATATCATTATGTGTAAATTCTGCCTTAGTAAAGTTTATTTTTATTTGATTAAACAATTGCCACCAATTGCCATCATTTTTGCTCATAAGATAGTTTATTAATAGTCTCTTCTCAGAACCAAGTGACATTTTATTGCTACTAAATAATATTTTTTATTTTTGTCCCAGAGCCTTCTGATTAAGATGGCTGATTTCCCCTACTTTGGCATGTTAGAATTACAAAAGGGATGAATGCCTTTCTTCCACAGCAGTGATGGTATCTTTTCATATTCCATCATTTTCAAGGAGTCACTTTTGTGATTAAAGCTGTTTACACATTTTAATTATTAGGAAGTTGTGTATAGTGCCTCTATGCTCCAGTTCTGAATCAAAATGTCTTTGTCCAAATAGTCTATTTACTGTCTGCATAATCGGGGCAAGTCTAAGAGTCTCTTCTTTTGTAAAGTGAAAAAAATAAAAATTATTATGTCATCATGGAGATTGGATAAGTTAGGCCATGCCTGCAAAATGGCGAGTACTTAAATGCTAGTCTTTTTTTTTTTTTTTCCACTATTAATACTTTTACTATAAACAAAATTCAGCTTCTCTTCCCCAGGAATTATTGTGCTTTTCAAACTTGCACTCTGTTCTAGAGACATTTGACATAAAGGTGTCTTACACATAAACAACTACATTTCCTGTGACAATAAATTAGACTCTCTCATTTTAAATTGCAAAAGTCACAGGTGTTCCTTTAACATGTTGAGCTGAACAAATAACTGTTATTCCTGGACTGGGCTGAGGTTTCAAAATTCTAACAAGCAAAATAAATTTTTGATGTCACAAGGCAGATATGTCCTAATCTCTAACATTTACTGATCTCTCCCCAAGTAATGAAATACTGACAGAAGTTCCAAGATTATGTATTTGTTGTTTTTATAAGTTTCCAAGAGGGCACTTAATTTTAGTAGGAAGAACATACCAATTGCCTCTAATAAGAAAATCATCTTCATTTACATACATTCCAATTGCCTATTACAAAAAATTAAACAAATGAAATACTAACCCAATATTATCTCATTCTTCTCACCCTCATAAGTAAATGAAAGATATGCAAGTGAAAACACTTTGATTAGCATACCAGAGAAATCAAAGCTCTCAAATTCACAAAAAGCAGGAAAAACGAAGTTCACGGGTGGAGTCAAATACTTATAAAATAGACATAGATTTATTTATTAGAGTTTAAGAGAGGGTAAATATATCCATATTATTAACTCCAAATAAAAACCAGAATTCAGATGACAACACTTGGAAGTGATATCCACATTTTCAAATAACTCTAAACAAGGTTCTGAACATACTAATACCAATTTAATGACCATTTCTCAACAACCCTAGCTAGTTGAGCAGGAAAGATATAAATGCATCCTTATGACACTTTTTTGGGGTAGAAAGCTCAGTATTCAAGGGGATTGTTCCACCTGTGTGGTTACTGCTTATAGTAAGCTCACTTTTGAGGAAGTAATCATATGTGAGCAATAATAATGGCTTAAATTTATTGAGCTCTTAGTATTGGTGCAATTGCCAATCCTATAAAGAACACCCAGTAACCACCTCCAATTCTGAGGTAAATGCTGCACAGAGAAGTTAAGAAGCATGCCCAGGATTATATGGTTAGTAAGTGGCTTCATAGTAAGTTACTCTAAAGTGAACAAGCAGTCTAATTTTGACAACTAGCCATTGCACAATTTGACCTTCTAAGTCCTACATACTGTCATAAATGTCTCAATCTAACAGTACCCTGAATTCCCTCTCACTTGAACCATTGCAAGAAACCTCATAAATCCCTGACTCATTGGATGAATCGTGGTCAAATTTTCATTACATAGAGCTTCATAATGCCAAATTTTAGGTGAAAAATGTTAATGGATCTTCATTTTACAATCCAATATAAAACTGTACAACTCTTAGCATTTTCCCAGAAATACCCCCATTTTCTCACACTTCTGACCACTTATATTGTTTCTTCTGCATAAGGTGGAAATCCAAGTGAAGATGACATCAAGCTAACTTTTCATAATATGCTTCTCATAACTTATTATTTAAATATTTGTGGAAACAGAAAAAGACAACAGAGTATAGTAGTCATCAACACTAATGGAAACAGGAAAATATTTGTAAAACTTCAGAAGTGATTTCTAAAAAATCAAGACAGATGGATAAACTGAATTTTAAAGTAAACTCTTCTTTGGAGTTAGGCTACGGAAATATTAGCCCCTCTTCCACTCTGTATACTTTGATTGAAGAACAGAAGCCTGCCTCAATCAGAAACCCCAGCACAACATCAAGTAATATTGGCAGATGTTTTTCCTCCTCAACCTACCACCCTCAGAACCTGCCTTTCTAAATCCATTGAAAGGCTACAATTTCAGCCAAAAAAAAAAAAAGGCATAACAGGAAATAGAACATTTTCTTCACATTGTGTGCAGGACTTGTGATTTTCAGGCAAAGGATATAACTCATTTAATGAAGGGAGACCACAGATAGCCTTGGAGTGATCTGCTGATAATCAGAAACCTTGTGAGGAATGAGCGAGGAGTGACAAAAGAGGCATTTAGCTCTAGATGAACCAATTAGATAAATGCCCTTTAGGAAACTGAGACACGACTAGGAAGTGGGCACATTATACTGCTCTTCATTTTATATATAAAATGGGGGATATTAACAGCACCAGGACAGTTAATGGAATGGTGGAAAATCAAACTGAACACTCTAGTGTCAGAAATTGAGGTGATGAAGAAACCTCAGAAACCTCCTGTCAAAAGACAGGAAATGTTGCCTAAAAACTAAGAGAAAGAATAGATCCCTAGAAATGAAAAGAACAATACATGTCAGAAAATTTCTTCCTTTCCTCAAGAATGTAAGAAAGTGTTAGCTCTAGGCAACATTATGCTAATTTTTTTTTATTACTCTAGGAATAATTTCTTATTATATAGCCTTAAGTAATTGGAATTTCTTTATAAAGAAACAGAAAAAAGAAGTCCAGAAATACCAATGTGTTCCTTTAAAAATTATTCAGTATCTAACATAAACTTAAGCAATGAATCTAAGCCAAAAAATAAATTTAAGCATGTAGTTTGAGTATGTTTATTGTATCAGGCTATAGGCACATTGTGATAATTTGATAGCTTACAAAAAATAAACAACAAAAAATCATGTAAGTAGAGGAAAGACAAAAAAAATCTGTCTTCAAACTCAGATATAGTTTTCTTCATGCAAAGGCTGAAAAATCATAGTATCAACAAATCATCAATAAAAATAACTTAAGGACATTTTAAAATCAAAATTAAAATACATAATGGGGTTGCAATGGCATGAAACTTGAAGATATGAATTATTGAAATATCTCAAATATAGAGCTGAGTTAAAATAATTGTTACCATGTATTTTAAGCTGAAACATCAACAATACTGCCGAGATGATGTAAAATAAAAAATAAATCAAAATTATATATAAAGTACAATGTCAATTTGTATAAATTGATATATAGGTAGATCGGTAGATAGATAGATTATTGATAAATTGAATTTAGGTGATTTGATTTCTCTCAAGTTTCTAAATTTTCTATAATGTGGTTTAATAATATGTTGGCCAGAAATTTTTATTGAAGTAATTATAATACAGAACATAAAATCTATGAGATAATTTTTCTCAACAAAAATCTTTAAGCTCAAATATTTTAGGAGTGATCTTTCTTTCAGACCTATACACTTTTAACTTTACTAACATTAAAAAAGAAATAATAATAATGCTTGCAAAGTAAAGGAGTAGCAGAAAACTCAATAATTTATGTTCTGGATATGGTATAGTCTTAAAGTCAAAACCTGAAAAGATAACCACAAAATAAATATTTTTACTTTGGTAAAAATAAGTGACAAGGTTATACACAAAGGAATTACAGAGATTTAGTTAACAGAATAACTTAGAACTACAAAATAGGGTTTATTGTCTATAGCCATATCACCCTAAAAGCGCCCTATCTCGTCTAAATAGGATTTATCTTAGAAGTGAATTTCTATTTTAATGCTAGGAAATATATTAATATAGAATAGCAGATCAAGTGATTCAGAAGTTAAAATATGTTGAATTGACTTTAGAAAGGCATTAAATACATATTAACTCAAAAGACTGTTTTAAACCGATAGTCAATAGCATGCTTAACAGTGAAACAAAATTGCCTTCTCACTAAGATCCGAAAAAAAAAAAAAAGCCGTCTGTTACCACCGTTTTTAAAACATTTTTAAGACGTTATCCAGGAAATAATGGTCAATATAATAAAGCATAGGATAAATCAAAGGAGAAGAAGAAAAGATAATTATTTGAGAAGAAAAGAATCTTTAAACATTTTTAAAACTAAGATTATTAACTGAACTAATTAAAGTTCCCTAAATTTATGGATTAAAGGGTAATTATACAACATTCAAAAATGTTTCTTTTTATCATCAATAATTATTTAGATGACATAAAGTTTAAAAAAGCCCCGGTGTGTGATGTTCCCCTTCCTGTGTCCAAGTGTTCTCATTGTTCAATTCCCACCTATGAGTGAGAACCTGTACGTTGTGCACATGTACCCTGGAACTTAAAGTATAAAAACAAAAACAAAAACAGAACTACCATATGATCCAGCAATTCCATTTCTGGGTATATACAGAAAGGACATAAAATCAGTCTTTCAAAGAGGAAAAAAAAGTTTAAAAAAGCACTAAATTGTAGTAACATTAAAATATGTAAAATATCCCAATATAAACGGAGCAAGATTTTAAAGAAACCAAAATCCCACCGAGATAGTTAAAGAAAAATTTAAACTAATACATGCTTTCATAATGAGCTTGGCTGGATAAACAAAACAAATTTTATTTATTTATTTATTTATTTATTTATTTATTTGTTTGTTTGTTTATTTGTTTATTGAGATGGAGTCTTGCTTCATCGTTCATCGCGCAGGCTGGAGTGCAATGGTGCGATCTCCGCTCATTGCAACCTCCGCCTCCCGGATTCAAAGATTCTCCTGCTTCAGCCTCCCAAATAGCTGGGATTACAGACACGCACCACCATGACCAGCTACTTTTTGTATTTTTAGTAGAGATGGGGTTTCACCATGTTGGCCAGGCTGATCTTGAACTCCTGACATCGTGATCTGCCCACCTTGGCCTCCCAAAGTTCTGGGATTACAGGTGTGAGTCACCACGCCCAGCCGAAACTAAACAAATCTTAAAACTCAAATAGTTTACGTGAGTTTGGTTTTGGCATAGTGATAGACAGTAATATCAAGTGAATAGAATAGAGAGACCAGAAGTAGACCCAGAGGTATGTAATTGGTTAATGTGTCTTAAAGGAAAAATCACAAAGTGAATAGACAAAGAGGTTATCTAAAAAATTGGTACTTGATAAATTCTGCTTTATTTTTTATATATATATTTTTTGAGATAGAGTCTCGCTCTGTCGCCCAGGCTGGAGTGCAGTGGCTCAATCTCGGCTCACTGCAAGCTCCGCCTCCCGGGTTCACACCATTCTCCTGCCTCAGCCTCCAGAGTAGCTGGGACTACAGGCACCCGCCACCACGCCCAGCTAATTTTTTGTATTTTTACTAGAGATGGGGTTTCACCGTGTTAGCCAGGATGGTCTCGATCTCCTGACCTCGTGATCCACCCGCCTCGGCCTCCCAAAGTGGTGGGATTACACGCGTGAGCCACCGCGCCCGGCCTACTTTATTTTTTAATAAAGTAAATCTCAGAAGGATTAAATAATAAAATATACTTTAATACATTATTTCAACACTAAAATAAATTATATACTTAGTAATTAATTATAAAATATGGAAAGGATTTGATGGTGAGCAACGAAAGAAACCAAATATTGAAGGGTTTATAGAATCGATTTTCTGAATCATCTGTTAATCTTAAACAATATAAATTGAAATACATTTCAAAGAAATCTGACAGAGGATTACTATTCTAACCTATAATGAAATCATACAATAAATCTATTGCATAGTTATAAACCTCAACACATGGTCAAATTATGTTAAACAGAGCATCTAAAAGACAGACTGTGTCTATCTAACAAATTATTTTATAAGTGTTTAATGTTTTAAATTAATGAAATACATGGTTGTTAAAAATGATTTTTTTCTCATTCCAATCATTATACATTCATAATGGAAGTAAAAACATTGAACAAATATAAGAGTATTTAAGACAGACGTTCTCACACTCAAATGGCATTGTACATTTTCACAATCTATAGAGAAAGCTGTTTGGTCATGTTTACCAGTTTTCAAAGGTTTACCAGTTTTCAAAGGTTTACCAGTTTACAAGTTTTCCATGTTTCCATGTAAAAGTTACCAGTTTACCAGTTTCCTATGTTTACCAGTTTACAAGTTTTCAAATTGTTCACACCTTTTATGCAGTAATGTCACTGATAGCAACCTATCCTAAGAAACTAATCTGACAAGCGTTGAGGCATTACTTACAATAAAGAAACTTGGAAATATCAAAATGTGTAATAATAAAAGATTAAGTAAAATATAATGTATCCACCTAAGACAGTATATATAATACGTAAGTATTGCTGTCTATATTCTTTAAAGAGTTGGGTAAATGCTTAGGAGGTAACATTAAGTGGTAAAATCAAGTTATGCAACATACACACAGTATGGTCCATATATAAAAAAATATATAGATGAGAGGAAGGACGTGTTATTTACTGTGGTTATTTCTCTTGTGTGAGATAATGAATAATTTTCATTCTTTTCTATACTGTTTTACAGTTCACTTTTTTAAACTAGGCAAACATCAACAATACTTATTTCTGAATAATTCTAACCAGGATTCACTGTAGAACTCATATTCTCCTACTACATAGACTTCATCTGGCAGAAGGAATTCTCTTTGGCCAGAAGAATTTCCTAGTCTCTGAACCCTAATAATATTTTGCTTACAAATTTTGTGTTTTGCTGATTGCATTTTCCTCGTGTAGAATTGTATATGTGTATCTGCCTTATGCATTAAATTATAAACAACCTGATCAGACATCAATCATGGTTTATCAGTCAATTTCTTAAAGAAGGTTGAGTGAGTGAAAGAGAGAGAGAAAAAAATAAGGAGAGTGAGAGGGAGGGGGCAGAGAGAAAGAGAGAGAGAAAGAGAGAGAAATAGTCAAGTCATATATGAGGAAAAAACACACAGTGGGTGACTGCAAGGGGCCACTGCATATGTGGCCAAAATGTGTAATAAATTCTGCGTTTTACCTTTTCCTTAGTGAGAGGAGGAGGAAGAGAAGACATTATGTTTCTGCTATCATTATTCTTAAATTTATCACATAAGCCATAAGTTTTCCTTTTTGCTGTCACTACAAATTTCCAATATAATCTTAGTAGTCAATCAGTAGTCCTGTCCACACCATCTAACCGTCTACAACCATCTACAACATCTAACACTAAAATCATTTTCTTAGCTTTATTTCTTAGCTTTATTCTCTCCACAAGTAGTATACCAGCTTGTGTCCATCATTCACACTTCAAATTTTGAAGTCAAGTATTAATATACTAGATTCTACTAATTTCACTCCCTCTTCATTCACCAGCACCTATTAGAATAATTTATTCATGGCAAAGTTTCTGTTTAATCTTTCTGCCTTTACTTATGACCAGGGTCTTGTTACTTTAATTTTGTGAGTTCTCTTTATTTTCCTGACTCCAGAATTCCTCATTGTAAATTTATTCTTCATATTGAATTCCTTCATATTGAATTAATTCTTCAAATTATGACCACCTACTCTCCAAGAGTATTTAATTGTTCCAAGAATTAACCACATCCTGTTTCCTTAAATTAGCTTTCTATGCCCAATGCAAATGAGACATCAATTTTCATTTTGTCATTCCCTCTGGTAAAAATGTGTAAAGATGCCTCTCCTATAGATTTTCTGTTCTCTTAACTGTGCACTGAATTCACT
Organism: Homo sapiens; assembly: GCF_000001405.40. Taxonomy (NCBI): domain Eukaryota; kingdom Metazoa; phylum Chordata; class Mammalia; order Primates; family Hominidae; genus Homo; species Homo sapiens. The sequence continues at coordinate 105,398,967 of NC_000011.10, forward strand.
GTCTTAGTAAACCAGACCATACAATTTTTTATTGAATTTAAAACACAGAGTGTTGCAATTCCACATCCTTGAAATCATGATATATATTTTTTTTCTTCGATATCACTCTCAAGGAAAACATGAAGGATGTGTCTTACAATCAATGGCATCTAGCATCCTTTTCCTTCAGAATCATATATAAAAATGTAGCATCTTGAAAGAAATGACATCTTAAATTTGATGAAATAAAGTATTTTTTGGTCCTCACCATCTATAAGCATGATTTCTTAATAGTAAATGCTCAAATATTGGTTCAACACACTAATATGTTTCAAGAAAAATGTCTCATGTGCCAATAACCAAGGAATTAACCCTGTTTATTTGTTAGTTATGTTTCACTCCTTCTGACAATAATGTAAAATATAGCAGCTGCAAAAAAAAAAAAGACTGAAAAATAAATATGCATGTTTAATAAGTTATTCTAGCATTCTAGCATAGACAGATGGAAGCTAAAAATTTCATAGATCATAGTGGGTAGTACATTAATGTAATAATTTTATAATCAACTCTTCTTGACATATTAGGTATTTTATAAAATCTCATCATTTTTCTAACCTGATATATTTCGTGGCGTTTATCTTACTCCATTCTTCACATTAATTTTAAAGTGTTTCATTTTTACAAGGAAAAAGAATTATCTCTCTGATAACCACAGTGATAGCAACAATAGAAACTATTGTCTTGCGTAACATGAACTGTGCTGCCCAAAACTGCATATATAAGCAGCTGGGTAAAAGGAAGTTAATTCATTACAAGACTTTCACATGGTCCTTTTAAAATCTGAACGTGTTAAAGATTATAGTAATTTACTCCATGACCTAGAGCAAATTGAGACAACGTCTCGTGTTCTGGAATTTAAGCATCACACTTTCAGGTTCACCATATTAAGTATATAGGTTATATTTAAAGAATGTTTAGTGAAGCATCTTAAAACCTTTAACAATTTGTCAATCTTCCAAATATTATTTCTTTAAAATCTAAAATCAAAGACAAGACACTCATACATAGTTGAGCAAATATCTTATTTACTTATTTATTTTGATCATTTCAACCTTTATTTTAGATTCAGAAAGTGCATGTGCAGATTTGTTACATGGCTACATTGTGTGACACTGAGGTTTGGTGTGCAAATGATCTTGTCATCCTGGGAATGAACATAATACCCAATAGGTAGTTTTTCAGCCCTTGCCCTCCTCGCATTCTCCTCCCTCTAGTAGTCCCGTGTCTATTGTTCTTATCCTTACATCCATGAGTACCCAATATTTAGCTCCCACTTATGAGTGAGAACATGTTGTATTTGGTTTTCTGTTCCTGTGTTAATTTACTTAGGAAAATGGCCTCCAGTTGAATCCATGTTGCAGCTAAGGACATGATTTCATTCTTTTTTATGGCTGTGTACCAGTCCATGGTGTATATGTACCACATTTTCTTTCCCCAATTCACTGTTGGTGGTCATCTAGGTTGATTCCATATCTTTGCTCTTGTGAATGGGGCTGTGATGAACATACGAGTTCATGTGTCTTTTTTGGTAGAACTAGTTTACTTTCCTTTGGTATATACCCAGTAATGGGATTGCCAAATCGAATGGCAGTTCTGTTTTAAGTTATTTTAGAAATCTCCAAACTGCTTTCCACAGTGACTGAGCTAATTTACATTCTGACCAACAAAGTATAAGTGTCCCTTTTCTCTGCAGCCTTGCCAGCATGTTATTTTTTGACGTTTAATAATAGCCCTTCTGACTATTGTGATATATGGTTTTGACTTGCATTCCCCTGATGATTACCGATGTTGAGCATTTTTTAAGTGTTCGCTGGCTGTTTTGTATGTCTTTTTTTGAAAAGTGTCTGTTCATGTATTTTGTCCACTTTTTAATGGGGTTATTTGGTTTTTTTGCTTGATGAATTGTTTAAGTTCCTTTTAGATTCTGGATATTCATACATCGTTGGATGTATAGTTTGTGAATATCTTCTCCTATTCTTTAGGTTGTCTGTTTACTCAGCAGGTGTTTTAAATAGTGTGAATGTCATTCTAATTTGTCTAAAAGAGTGTCTAAGGACACTCTCAAGAGTGTTCGCTATTGTACAATAAATGTATATGTTTTTCCTAGATTAAAGTTTCCAAGAATGCCCCCAATTTTATAAAATCACTAGACTATTGCTAATATTCATTCTATCATTTTTATTTTTTGGACCATTTTATTTTAATGGATAAATAAAAATTGTTTATATTTACCATGGGTCCAGCTAACTCTTTCCTTTCAAAATGCAAACCTTCTTGGGTAGAACAGTATTTGTGTTCCTCAGCAGCTGGGTATGAATTTTATGTAATGGAGCTTGTAGCAGTATTCAAAGTCATGTGGGAGCACTATGCCTGTGGGGCAAAAAAGCAAGAAAAAAAACAGCCAGTGATACAAATTGGTGCACTGGGATCACTGATGCAAACCAGACATGCTCCACAAACTGGCATCTGGTTCCACAGGATCCTGTGAAGCTACTCTCCATCTCATGAACTTTCAATTCAGATACAGCACATTTTTATTTGTCATCTAGATGCTCTGTGACATTAAGCAAGCAATAATGTCTCTCAGCCTGAATTTCTCTCCTATAAACAGTTGATACTAATCTTGACATTACACGTCTGTGTGAGAAGATGTATGTATATTCACTTAGCCCGGTGATTTGTATTTATATGGCAATTAGTTTACTTTTCCTGTGAGTATTTAATATTGAAGGACTGTCATTGTTTACAAAATGGCACCACCACACCACTTTTCTCATATTCACAGGTTAATGAAATTGTACTTTCTGTGATGTCACTCCATACTCAAAACTATTTTACCTTCAACTCTCTCTTTTTGTTGTTGTTGCTGTTTATCTTCATCTCTTCCTTTGTTCTTTTTTAACATTGAGTTTCTATTCTACCACTTTCTTTTTGTTTCCTTTTTTTGTTTTTCAACTTTTAGTTTAGATTCAGGGGGGTACATGTGCTAGTTTGCCAGCTGTGTATATTGTCTGATGCTGAGGTTTGAAGTACAAATGACCCCACCACCCAGCACCTAGGTACTAAGCATAGTACCCAACAATTAGTTTTTCAAACCTTTTCTCCCCTCCTTTCCCGCCTCTAGTAGTCTTCATTATCTATTATTGTCATATTTATGTTCATGAGCACCCAATATTGAGCTCCTACTTAAAAGTGATAACACATGGTATTTGGTTTTCTGTTCCTGCGTTAATTCACATAGGATAATGGCTTTCAGCTGCATTCATGTTTCTGCAAAGGAAATGCTTTGTCTTTTTATGACTGCATAGTATTTTATGGTATATATGTACCACATTTTCTTTATCCAATCAACGGTTGGTGGGCATTTAGGTTGATTCCATGTCTTTGCTATTGAATTCTACCACATTATAAGCTAAATTAAAGTTAATATAATAAATATTCAAAGCATTAAAAAATAAAAATTTCATTGGAACTTAGTTAGAATTTAGAATAAAGCAGACTTTTAAATATTCACATTATCTAAAACTTGGATGTTAGATAATTTAGCCTATTAAATCATTTACTAATATATGGTATAAAATATAATGAAGGTTCCTATTTACACAAGATCTTCGGGTCTCATAGAACAATATGCACATGGAAAAAGATGGCACAGGTACAAAGTGTGTTTAGGAATTTCACATACCTTATTTTGGCCATTGGCCATTCAAAGGAGGAAGAGATCACAATGTGCTTGGAGTAGCAGCTTGGAGCACAGCAGAGAGATAATAGGAAGCTGCATTTAGAATAAGGGAGTGCTAGAATATTAGGATCTGAAGGTGAAATACAAGGAGAAGGGCATTTTTAGGAGGGGGTGCAGGGAGGAACAACATGAGCAAAATCTCAATGGTGAGAAAAGCATAGAAACCAGAGTGGTTGGCTTTGTCTAGGAGGTGGAATCCATAAAGGCATAGAGGGATGTCACCTTTAATGCTGCAAAGGGCATAGAAAGCCAGATTTGCAGTTTATCCATTTATAGCTACACGTACTATTGGGAAAGTAGAGTAGCAGGTTTCTGAGGGTTAAATAAGTTGTATAAAGTTGCTAACTTGTCATCGGCACACAGAACACAGTATTTCTCCTTTTTCCAGTAGGCAATGTGGGGCTACTGAAGTAATTGAGTAGGGGAGTGACCTGGACAAAGCCACATTCTGTATAACATTGTAGAACAGAAAAAGGAAAAAGAAAAAGGTGTGCCTTTTTAATTTTAATTTTTATTTTTCATAGTGTGATTTTCCTCAGTCTTTGGACCTGCGTTAAGCTATACTAAATGATAATTTCACTGAATTTATTTCTCTGAAAAAACTCAGCGTGTTACATAAGACTAACAAGTACAAGGTCTCCAAGAACAATCTTTAAAAAGAATGTGTGACCTGGTGTAGACCAGAGCACTTGCTCAGTATTTTAACACAATGGAAAAACAATGGAGAAAGAAGTGTAAGATTTGCAGCTAAAACAGAAAATAAACATTTAGACAGGCTGAAAACAGCACGTAGTGGGATTTCTTACCCATGTTAAGAAACAGCAGTGGCAGACCAGCCAGTCGTACTTCTGACAGGCAGTGATGAGGCTGCTCTTTTGAAACAAGGATTCAGACAGTGAGGATAGAGGTAGGTCCAGATTACTCAGAGCAATCTGACAATAGTGTCTTTTGCACCAGCCTGAGGCAGTGATATGTCTTTGTAGTTAGGGATAACTTTTGTCTAAAAACCTCCAGGAAAAACGGGATGACAGTACCCACATAGCACATCACTTTATTATTAATAATTCCCAGGTAGCAAATTATACAAACCTCACAGTTTTACCTGCATGAGAGAGCCTTCTGGATCCCTTGTCTGGTCCTAGTTTTGGCATCTCCTTTTCTTCACTATGTTTTTTTCAATGCCTGGGCAAACCCCTTACTCAGAGAACCCAGGCATCCTCCCAACAAAACATTTTGCTGGTTTTATCAGGAAAGATAGCAACACTACTTGCCACCTGCTAATACAGGTTGTATATAGCTGCATGTCCATCACTGCATCCCTGATAACATTTATTAAGCCTTCTTCTACATTTATTGTTGCCCAGGAAAAAGAATCCTATGCTCGTGGGGAAGGAAATGCATTAGATTTGGATTATAGCTTCTATTTTTAAAGATATATTGGCAAGTACATAGTAATTTCTTTCAACATAGGAAGAAGAGCATAATGATACATTGGGAGAATCTTCTTATCTAATAGAGATAGATGAACACATTAATGAATCAAATGATAGATATGGATGTGCATATAGATATAGATATCATATGAATTAACATATGGATATAGACATAGAAGTATATATATTCAAATAAGCATATATAGATATAGAAATATATATATTTAATCATATATATACACGTATATCTTACTAGTCTTAGATTTCTCTTTAGTTGTTAATATTTTTCCCTATATATTTTCCAAAAGTTAAAATATAGAATAATTTTCTTTCTTTTTCAGGGTTTTAAGTTAACATAAGTTTTAAACAGATGAATTAAAATGTCAGCCAAAAATTCAGAGCTAAAAACTGAAAATGTTTGCTCCACTTTTCATTTTACCTCCTTAACATCCTTCAGGTATATTTAGTAGAATGAAGAGGCCAGGAAAAGTGCCTGTTGGAAGGAAGAGCCTCCGTATTCAAGCCTTCACCAAAGCTGCATGACTTTGAACAAGTTACTTTATCTCTCTAAACATCAATTCTGTCATCTATAAAATAGAGATCTATTATTTACCTTACATGGTTTTCCGAGGATTAGGTGATATTATGTAAAGCATAATAGATAACCCCCAATGTTATTTTCCTTCTTTCCTTGCTTATGAGAAATTAAGCTTTTGGATGAGTTATTGGACACTTTATAAGCTCAAGAAATAAGACAAACAGCTTCTCTTTTCAGATTTATTACATCTATTCAGAAAAACATCCACAAGCCTCTTATCTGGAATATATGTATAACAGAACCAATCCTAAAGAACAGCTATGCTTCTGGAAGTAGCAAAAGAAGCCAGAGATGACAACATTTCCAGAGAGGGGAAGGAGGAGATGAAGACTCAGAAATGACAGCATAAGGTGTGATTGGCCAATCCACAGGTGAATCTGTTTAAATCTTAATTACCACATCAACACACAACCAGTTATTTTTCTCCTTCAAAAATTCCCTTGTTGCTCTTTCTTTGATCTGAATTCCCACAGTTAACACAACCCATGGCATAAAAGTTCCATATCTGCCATGTAGAAGCTTTTAATATTGGCTTGGATTGTTATTTAAATCCCACATCACTATTTACTCAACTTTCTTTATATCAACCACCTCCCTGCCAGATTGCTTTTAATCTCTATGAGGATGAACACTCATACGTATTAATTAGTAAGTCAGTAAATAGACAGAAAATCCCCGCTCCACCACTTATTAGCACATGTTCTTGTACAAGTTTCCAAACCTGTCCACAACTTAATTTATTTGGAAAAGTTGAATAATAACAATAGCTATCTTACAAGATTGCGAAAGAAGTAACTTTCTGATACAAATTAATCACTCAAAAAATCTTTGTCGTTATAATGGTAACTATTTTCGTGCCTACTATGGGTAAACCATGGGCTGGACATTATATATACATTATCTCCAATTCTTTAAATTCTATTATTTTTAATGATTTATAGACAAGAACACGGAGGCATAGAGGGTAAGGATAATGCGAGTTGATTCAGTTTGCAGCAGCTCAGCTGAAATCAGAGACTACGAATTTGTGGTGTACCTTATACTCACCGCTTGTCTACTATTTTATTCCTGTCTTCCTTTTTTGGTAATATTTATTATCACTTACTTTGTACCAGTCATGTTCTAAGTGCTATATCTATATTTTTTCCTTTAAAATGGTTCACATAAATCGTATGAGATAGGTACAATTATTCTCACTTTCCAGAGTATAAAAACTAAAGCATAGAAGTTAATAAGTTGTCCAAGGCCCCAAAGGCAGTAAGTGGAACAGCCAGGACCTTATAGCTCTCTGTGTCCCTGCCCATCATTGATTGATATGTATTACTGAGCACATCTATATGCCAGACTCTGATCTGGGCACAAGAGGTTCGGTTGTGGGCAAAACAGTTAAATCCTGGTTGTAGTCAAGTGGGAGAAGATAGATAAAACAAGTATATGTATGATTTGTCACATGGTGTTAAGCACTTTGGAGAAAAATTAAGATGAAGGTGATTAGAAGAGCAGTGTGCACGGGTCAGACTTGCTATTTCTATACAGTAGACAAAGGTGGACCCATAAATCCAGTGATATCTCAGGAAAAGATCTAAAGTTGGTGAAAGAGTGAGCCCTCTTGGTATTAGGGAAAAAGCATTCCAGACATAGGGAACAGCAATGCAAAGATCCTGAGGAAGAACCACAGGGGAACTATGTGGCTGAAATAGAGTAGGGAGAGGGAGAGAATGGGTGGAGGTAGGTCAGAGAGTAGATTATAAAGGTTCTCTAGGCAATGGCAAAAATCTCTAATGACTCTAAGGGCTTCTGAGCACAGGAATAATGTGATCACTCAGGCTGCGGAACAATGAATGGAATATAAAGGAGAAGCAAAGAGGCAAAAGAGAGCCAGAATGATCAGTTAGGATTTTTTCAGTTTAGAGAAGATGATGACTTGTATTAGAGGGGGAATTGTAAAAACAAAACAGCAACAACAAAAAAAACAGTCATATAGCCAAACACAGGGGCTCACACCTTTAATCCCAGCACTTTGGGAGGCTGAGGCAGGAGGATGGCTTGAGCCCAGGAGTTTGAGATCAGCCTGGACAACATGAAACCTAACCTCTACAACAAAAAATAAATAAATAGTACAAATTTAAAACATAATTTTCAAAGCAATCATATATTTATAGACGTAAAATAGTATATCTTGAAGTTCACAGGATCTGCCAATAGACTGATTTGCAACTGTGAGAGAAAATACAAATCAAGGCCCGAACAACAGAAGGAATGGAATTGCCATTTAGTGAGATAAAGAATACTGCAGGAAGAAAAAACTTAGAGGAAAATCATGAGGAGTTTATTTGGACCATGTAAAACAACAGTGTGCTGGTGTTCACTAAAGAGTTAGTACGTGAGATCTGGGAAAAGAGAGGTTTGCACCAGTCAAAATACTTCATATGCAGCAAAAACAAGGGACTCCCAAACCTCAGTGGCTTATGGCAAACACATTTTTAAATACTCACTCATATTACATAGCCACCCTGGGGCTGCTAAGGCTGTACTCCAAGTTGCTTTGACTATGAGTCCCAGAATGACAGAGCAGATGTGTTTAACACTTTGCCAGACTCATAGCACAAGGAAAAAACAACATGGGTCTCACACTGGTCATGAAGCTTCTCCTGCAGATGGACAAAATAATCTCCATTACCATTTCATTGTCCACAGTAAGTTGCATGGTCAAGTCTGAATTTTGTTTTTTAGAGTTGGGGGATATAATTATCATCTAGGAAAGAGGGAAACCATAATTTCAATCTATTACAAAGATAAAGTATATAAATTTGGGCATCACCAGCACAAAGACACTAGTTAAAGCCCTGTCTGGGTAAATCACCAGGAAAGTAATCACAGGAAAGAGTAGAAGTCCAATGCCCAGGCACTCCAGATTTTACAGCTCTGGCTAAATTAGGAGAAGAGTCTATAACGAAATGGTCAGTAGTGTAGAGGAAAACAGAGAATGGTGCCCTGAATATCAGGTAAAATAAATCACTGGAGAAAGAAAAAGTGATGAAGGGCTTGCTGATCAAATACCTTGAGGATTGGAAATTGACTATTGTCATAAGCAATTTGCAGGTTATTTGTTACCTTGACAATACTGGTTTCTGTAGGGGGATGGAGATGAAATCTGATTCAAATAGTTTCACAAATAAACGTGAGGAGAGGAAAAGGAGTATAGACACTCTCTCAAGGAATTTTGCTTTATGTAACAAATTACAATGTCATCAGTAGAAACCATGCCTTTCCCTGTGGGGGAAAAAGAGAAACAATTAAAACAGCAGCCTCTATTGATGGAGGCTTCTGGTTCTTAAGAAAAGGACAGCTCTCAAAGAAAAAACAGCAGCCATTCATACTGTAAATTCTTGGAAGACAGTGGAAACAACTAGAATAATACTTGGGAAATAATACTTTTCTTTAAAAATGAAGAATGTTATCTATCTGTAAATTTCAATTCATTCATATTGACACCAGATAGTCTTAGAATAATTCATTCCTTTACCTTCCTGAAAAACTGTCTGCCTTTTCCTCTGAGACTTCTATGATACTTCATTTTTTCTTCTAAAATGATGTGTGTTGTCATTGTTTTTTTTACTGTAGATGGACATTAAACTACAAGGAGATTGAGGTATTGACTGCCTTGGCCATTGTGATACACCTAATATCAGATGGTTAAGGTACAATTTTCACCTATAATGCTAACCAAATGAACAAATTAAATCAATTCATCTTCCAAATGCTTTGTATACTTCTTGCCTATATTTTTCTCTTTAGAGAATCTATGACTGTATTATGGTCTTTCTTCACAACTGGACAAGCTCACATCTCACAGCAGGGAGTCAGGTTTTGTGCCATCAGGACTTAGATATATTTTGTGCAATTACTAAATATTTAAGTACTTAAGAGATTATTGGTCATCATTTAATTATCAGGAAGCTTCTCTCATTTTTGTTGTCATGTTTTGTTTTGTTTTGTCTTTTAATTTTTCTAAATGGGTAAGGAGAACCAATCCTAAGTAACTAATAATAATAGTAACAATGAGAAAAAGTACTCGTTGCATAATCTGAAAAAAAACTTTTTTTCTGCACATATGAAATAAGCACCATTGTCAAGATAATTGTTTCTTAACCGTCTGTCATTCAGAAACAATTACAAAATCTATGCATTGAAGTACAAATTCATAGTTAAGGTGTAATTTGTTATCTTTACTCCCAAATATGCAAATGTTTACCAGATATTAAAAACTAAGCAGCTATATGTGGTTATTAATCAGAAATGACTCTGGAAATTATAGTGGTAAAGTGATCTAAATAACTAGACCTTGATAGTTTAGAAACAATTAATTTGATAATTATAATCACTTAGTTGGATGAATGATGTAGCACTTCAATCAGCTATCAGCAAGCAAAGATTTTGAAGGCTGAAAGAATGAGTTAGTTGGATTTTTATTAATTCAGTCATTATAAACTATTACCAGGATGTGCTTAAAGCAAATTGTTGTTGTTGTTGTTGTCAACATATGGTTATTTCATATAATTTATTTATATAATCTATTTTATAAAATGCAACATCTAAATATTCAACATCTGTCAGGCCATGTATTACAGGATTTGTCAACTTTTTTTCTAGATACAGAATATAAAATTTGGTTTTAGTATATACACTGCTCAGCTTTTCACAAGTCAACATTTTATCTCTCTTGATATTTAAGGTTTTTTTGCCAAGTACTATGGACTGTTGCATCCTTGAAGTACCATAATGAGACTAAATGGCTTCTCTTTATTTTTATTATTATTATTATTATTATACTTTAAGTTCTAGGGTACATGTGCACAATGTGCAGGTTTGTTACATATGTATACATGTGCCATGTTGGTGTGCTGCAGCCATTAACTCGTTATTTAGCATTAGGTAAATGGCTTCTCTTTAGCGTTCTCCTATAAGTCATCTGAATGAGAATGGATCAATGTTGAGACAGTCATACTTTCCCTTTGAATGCTTAGGCTTAATTCTCTAAAAACTTGTATCCGTTTAAAGCAAGGTTAGAATCAAGCCCCTATAACACCAAGATGAGGTAAAAATAACTACTGTAAGTATTTAAATGTTTCCTTCCAGAAACAGAGGGCAAGAGCCCCCCTTCATGCCCTTCAGAGAGACTGATTAACAAAGATAAATCATTGGCTTTGCTAATATTGGATTTCAATTTATTAAATAAACAGTATCACAGTCAGAGGCTTTCACAAGAAAATGTACAGGGCAATAGGAAAAAGTGAGTCAGTTGATCTGACCCATGCAAGTTTATGAAATATGTGACTATATGAAATAAATAAAAATGAAAAAGTAAAATATAAAACGTGTGTAGGCTTAGTGATGGGGGGTTACTAATACCAATTATTAGATAAATTTTTCCAAATAATTGTTTTTCTGAAGTTGAACATATCTATGCAATTGTTTTCTCTCAATTTTCATAGAACAAATTGATATTGTATGATCTTAATTTTTTCAAGGAACAAAAAATTGAAGTTGAAGAAAATATTTTCTTCTTACAAAGGATATTGCTTTACCATTGAAGTAGAGAGATGCCTGACTTCTAGATATTTTATGCTTGACCAAGTCCTTTAAATGAAATGAAAAGATTAAAAAACAGGAATATTATAAATCAGCCTTTTATTGAAATCAAACCCATGGTCAAACAAATGTTCAATAAAATTAAAATATACCTAGAGCCCAGAGATGTAGGTGAGGAGCAAATTTCAATCTATGATGCACTTGTTCTTGTACTCAAATTTTAATAATTCCCTTTATACATTAGCTTCAAAGGCTAGGGAATAAATTGTATACCCATTTCAAAATTGGGACTAAATTGGGAAGTCAGTAAGGCAGACTAAATGTGAAATTAACCTCTTCAAAAATAAGTTGGTGACTAACCCCAAGGGGAATAATGCCCACTTTTTATTCAATATATCCTAAATGGGACTGGAGAGAGAAAGTTAAGGAGAATTACAGATGTCAAGAGACCTTGAATTGGGTAGTAAACATGATGGAAAATGTGATCAAATTTTAGTCCAGCTTAGTGTGTCAGAATTTGGACTAGATTTTCTATAGGATCTCTATGCATGAGCAAATGAATGATAGAATCAATGGTTTATGCCGGTGTATAGACCTAAACTTTCCTTATCAACAACACATCTGCAAGACCGATGTGTAACAAAGTCTATGGTTCAGACTGTAGACTGCAGAATATTTTTTTTTCAAAATCTGTTTCTTTACGTTAACTATTTGGGTTTATGTCTTAACATCTCTGAGCTTCACTTCCTTAATAATAATACCTACCTTACAATGTTGTGAGGATTGAGAAAAATGTATGGAAATCACCTCACATAATGCTTGGCATATATTAAATCCACAGTCCAAATGCCTATTATTCTTATCACAAGGAGAGAAGGAGGGGCTATACTAAAAACAATTTCAGAGCAAAGGATTGAAGTAGCTTGCCGGTCACCGAGGTGGTGAGGAGTGTTCAGCAAACACCATGTTGCTGCACAGACTGGAGATCTTGTGATACACATTATCCATTTTGGTCTTGCAATCCATCAACCTTACAGTTTACAGTATACTGCAGAGATTACAGTATCCTCAGCAGAAAAATAATAACTACTAGTGAATGGAGTAATGAAATCAGTTCTACTCTACAATGAAAGGCATGAGTATCTCATCCAATTATAAACCTTACTTGTACACATAGATAAGATGCAGACATGGATAGTAACCATTCTGAGCCCAGGACTGTACCATATGTAAACAAAAATAATATAGTACCAGAATTCTAAATACTGCAGAATATAAAAGAGATATATAAAAGTACAGAAGGTACTGACTTACTATGGCTTGACTTATGAGCTTTTCAATTTAAAAGTGGCTTTATTAATGACTTACAATGTTTTTGACTTATGTTGGGTTCATTGGGATGTAACTCCTTAGTAAGTCAAGGAGAATCTGTTCAAGATTCTTAAAAGTAAATTGAAAATGTGCTCTAAACAATGTGGAATATTTAAAATGTTATTTTAGACTTATAACCTTACCATGTCAGATTTTAAAAAGAAATTCAAAATGTATATTGATTTAAAATTAGTTATGAGAATATAAAGATAGGTATATAAAGAAATTGTTTCTAAGATTGGAAATTTCTAATATTTATTTGCAAACCCACATTTCTATATTATTAAATTTGAGGTAATAGATACACTGCTGGTGTTACTGTAATCATAGTGTTCTTCAAGGAAGCATTAAAAACTCAGTCTAATACTTTATAGTGCATATTACTTTTTAAGAGTTCAAATATCCTCATTAATGCAAATTCAGAAGTTCTGGTTGGTGTCTATTTTATACTAATTTTTCTTTTTACAACTAAATGAGTTCAAAAGTAACAAGGAACACCAAGTAAATGCAGTTTTCCTACTGAAATGCCTTGGCTCTTATATGGTCCTTTGTGCTAAAAGGTTAGAAAAGGTAGTATTTTAGCTTTTTATGTTTTAAGCATTAATTGCTACTTCCCATGCACTGTAACACTCTTAACTAGGTTCTGTAATTTATTTTTAAAGAATTTATTTTGAGAATAGATCTGTAAGTTACATACCATGGGGACCAATGTTGCCTTCTGCCAATTTGTTAGAAGACTAAATTCTGGGTAATTTCATTCTGTGATGGTAAATTATAATACAATAGAGGACAGTAAAACTAATTTTTAAAAAACTTCATGTTTTCTACTGGTTCATGTTTCAATTTTAACAAGGAAAAAAAGCATGAATACCACACCCACTGATGATATGAAAAGTCCTTTAGTTAAGGACTTTTATAGCATAGAGTTAAACAACAATGACAGATTTGAACCATGTAATAAACACTGCTTAGGGCTAAAAATGCAATCATGCGGAAACTAGAAGTTAGAGATGCTAGGAGCAAGAAGATAATATCTAAGGTCAATTGTATCATCTAATCAAAGTTTGTATTACAATAAAATAATTGTGTTCTTATTTTTAAATCAAATATAAGAAGCAACACTGGCCTCTATTTCACGCTATAAGAAATTGCATTTTATGTGTAAATTTGAAATTATCAACATAAAATCTGTTTTCCTGACTTAGTTGAAAGTATGTTTCTAAACGCTTTACTGTACCTTTGTGTCAGATTCAAAATAAAATTGAGAATTGATTTTCCCCAAATCTTTTGTTGAACAAGCAGGTGGGGTTGTGGTAAAGGAGGTAAGAAAATAAACACAAATTATCCAAAAGCAGGTGCCAAGCCACAAACTCCAGCAAAAATAATTGATAGAGTTTTACTTAGAGAAAATGATGTATTAAAAGTTGTTTACAAATCATTTTATATTTTCAAGTAAATTTCACATATTTTCCAGAGTCTTCTATTTTAAGTGCATGTTCTTTCTACTCTAAACAGAGAGCCAAATCATGAGTGAACTCCCATTCACAATTGCTTCAAAGAGAATAAAATACCTAGGAATCCAACATACAAGGGACGTGAAGGACCTCTTCAAGGAGAACTACAAACCACTGCTCAATGAAATAAAAGAAGATACAAACAAATGGAAGAACATTCCATGCTCATGGGTAGGAAGAATCAATATCATGAAAATGGCCATACTGCCAAAGGTAATTAATAGATTCAATGCCATCCCCATCAAGCTACCAATTACTTTCTTCACAGAATTGGAAAAAACTACTTTGAAGTTCATATGGAACCAAAAAAGAGCCCACATTGCCAAGTCAATCCTAAGCCAAAAGCACGAAGCTGGAGGCATCACGCTACCTGACTTCAAACTATACTACAAGGCTACAGTAACCAAAGCAGGATGGTACTGGTACCAAAACAGAGATATACACCAATGGAACAGAACAGAGCCCTCAGAAATAATGCCGCATATCTACAACCATCTGATCTTTGACAAACCTGACAAAAACAAGAAATAGGGAAAGAATTCCCTATTTAATAAATGGTGCTGGGAAAACTGGCTAGCCATATGTAGAAAGCTGGAACTGGATCCCTTCCTTACACCTTATACAAAAATTAATTCAAGATGGATTAAAGACTTAAAAGTTAGACCTAAAACCATAAAAACCCTAGAAGAAAACCTAGGCAATACCATTCAGCACATAGGCATGGGCAAGGACTTCATGTCTAAAACACCAAAAGCAATGGCAACAAAAGCCAAAATTGACAAATGGGATCTAATTAAACTCAAGAGCTTCTGCACAGCAAAAGAAACTACCATCAGAGTGAACAGGCAACTTACAGAATGGGAGAAAATCTTCACAACCTACTCGTCTGACAAAGGGCTAATATCCAGAATCTACAATGAACTCAAACAAATTTACAGGAAAAAAACAAACAACCCCATCAAAAAGTGGGCAAAGGATATGAACAGACACTTCTCAAAAGAAGACATTTATGCAGCCAAAAGACACATGAAAAAAGGCTCATCATCACTGGCCATCAGAGAAATGCAAATCAAAACCACAATGAGATACCATCTCACACCAGTTAGAATGGCAATCATTAAAAAGTCAGGAAACAACAGGTGCTGGAGAGGATGTGGAGAAATAGAAACACTTTTCCACTGTTGGTGGGACTGTAAACTAGTTCAACCGTTGTGGAAGTCAGTGTGGCGATTCCTCAGGGATCTAGAACTAGAAATACCATTTGACCCAGCCATCCCATTACTGGGTATATACCCAAAGGATTATAAATCATGCTGCTATAAAGACACATGCACACATGTTTATTGCGGCACTATTCACAATAGCAAAGACTTGGAACTAACCAAATGTCCAACAATGATAGACTGGATTAAGAAAATGTGGCACATATACACAATGGAATACTATGCAGCCATAAAAAATGATGAGTTCATATCTTTGTAGGGACATGGATGAAGCTGGAAACCATCATTCTCAGCAAACTGTTGCAAGGAGGCTCTAGAGATTGGGACAAGAAAAACAAAAACGTTTTTAGGAAGTTCTCATCTTCCAATGTTCCACATGCTTTAGTCATCTCACCCATGCTTAGAAATTCAAAAGGAATTTACGTTGATTCTGTGGTTCACTATGGGTATTATGTACATTTTAACAATATTAAATTATTCTAACCTATTGTATCAGATGCCCCAGAGAGAACATAAGATGAACTTATACAAAATAAGTAAGGTCCAGAAATCTGTTGTACAACATAGTGCTTACAGTTAGTGATAAGGTATTGTGTAGTTAAACATTTAAGAGGGTGGATTTTATGTTGTGTTCTTACCATAAAAGAAGAACAAAAGAACACAGGAAAACTTTTGGAGGTGCTAGATATGTTTATTAGCTGAATTGTAGAGATGGTGACATGACTATATACATATATTTTGAACACATATATGTATATACAATTGTATACCTTATTATGTGCAATTTTATATACTAAGTATACATCAGTAAAACTGGAAAAAAAACCTTTAGCTTTTGGAGGAAAAAAGAAAGAAAATTAGAAAGAATGAGGACTTCTCAATAGCTTGAACTGAGCTCCCACAATTCTCATTTTCCATCTTCTCTAGTTTTCCTAAGTTGAAATTGTCCTATTCTTCTTGCTGCTTCTCTGAGTATTATCTTTATTCCTAACTCCTAAATTACTCTAATTAGAAAAATAAATTATAACTATGTTGTCTAGAAATCCTAAATAGCAATGTGCCATCATTTTTGCAATGTAAATGGTGTGGGTTTTTTGGTTATCATTTATGAAATCCTTTGCCAACCCCTATAATACAAATATTTCTCTGGATTTTCCTTTTGCATCTTTACAGGTATGTTTTGACATATTCAGTTTTTTAATACATAACTTACCATCTAAATCTTGGCACCTTTCATAGCACAAGGGAGTGCTATAATAATTACTTAGGGTAACCGCTGTAAATGGGATTGACCTGAGTAAAGTGAAGAGTGGGCACTCCATTTTTATTTCACCTGGATTTGATAATTGCCTGTGGTATAAAAAAGGAATTAAAATCATCTATTCCACATGGATAGCCAATTCTTCCAACATTTCTTTAAAATATCTTTTCTCTTTCCAGGCCAGGCGTGGTGGGTCACGCCTGTAATCCCAGCACTTTGGGAGGCCGAGGTGGGTGGATCACGAGGTCAGGAGATTAAGACCATCCTGGCTAATGTGGTGAAACCCTGTCTCTACTAAAAATACAAAAAAATTAGCCGGGCGTGGTGGCGGGCGCCTGTTAGTCCCAGCTACTCGGGAGGCTGAGGCAGGAGAATGGCATGAACCCAGGAGGCGGAGCTTGCAGTGAGCCGAGATGGCGCCACTACACGCCAGCCTGGGCGACAGAGCAACACTCTGTCTCAAAAAAAAAAAAAAAAAAAAAAATCTTTTCTCTTTCCAATAATCTCAGTGATACTACCATCATATATCTATCAAGTTTTATGTATGTATGGGCTCTCTTCAATGCTTTATTTCTATTTGTCAATCCATATTCTTAATTACCATACCTTTAAACATAATCTTTATTTGATAGAAGATTCTCTCAACTTCTTTTTTTCAAAATTTTCTTAACTAATCTTAATCCTTTTCTCTTCTATGTAAAGTTTAGACCAGCTGGTCAAATCACACAAACACAATCACACACATACACACACACACATGCATGTGTGAACATACCTTTAATGGGATTTGGGATTTGCTTGGAATTGCCTGAATGTGTAACAAATACAAGAAGAGTCAGTATTCAGGATATAAGATATTTCTTCCTTCCTGTAGGAAATAGCTAAAAAAAGAGATATAAAGTATTTCTATCCAGGAATCTGATGTATCGCTATTTATTTAGATTTTATTAGATGATTTTCAATAATTTTTATGAATATCTCCATAATGATCATGCACATCTTTTGCTACATTTAGATCTAGTTACTCAGGTTATTTTATTTTTAATCATTCATTTTTATAGATTATATATCATATAAATTAATTTCTAAATTTTGGTTTCTAATATTTAGGGGAAAAATTGAATTCAACATATTCATTTGTCATTTTCTGAATTCATAAAGCATTTGTTTACCTTATGGAGTTGTGAGTGTTCTTTATATATTCTGTGTATAAGTCTTTTCTCAGATTTATGTTTCACAAATATCTTCTTCCAGTCTGTGTCTTATCTTTTTATTTCCTTAACAGTATCTTTCAGAGTATAAGTTTTTACTTTTATTAAATACATATTTTTTATTTATTTAAGAATATTTTTTCTTGTATGTATAATGCTTTTTGTGTTTGAAAAATATTCACCTATCCCAAAGTCACAAGCAATTTTTTCTTATATTAGGTCTATGATTCACTCAGATTTCATTTTGACTAAAATAATATCATTGAATACATGGCATTCAGACACCACTTCTTCCATTTTTTAACTATTTGACTTTCGGAGAGTTACTCAAAACTTTCTAAACACAAGTTTCATCATTTGTAACATGAGGATAACATAGCACAATCTCCTAAGACTGTTATAACGATAAAATGAGATAATGCTGTGACATTGTTAGCCCATCACCAAAAACTCAGTAAGTGCTCATTAACCAGTTGCTGCATGCTTAACTTGTTCATGAGTTTGTAGAACATAATAAATATTCCAAACATACTAAACATTAAAGCTAAATGTATGCTAATATCTCTTGCATGAAACTTAACTCATGTTGTTAATTACTTCCAAAATATATATATCCTGTATTTTAATATTAATTCCTATAAAAAGTCTTTTTAAAAGAAGCATCTCTGCACTGACAATTTTAAATGGAATATTCTATAAAAATTCATTTTTAGGTCAATATATTTATTTGACTATGACTTTGCTAGAGTTAGTGATATCATATCAGGTTAATGGGAAAAATAATAAGTACTATGGGGTAAGCAAGTCTGAGGAGAAATGCACTTTAGACACATTGAACTGTATTATGCTTATGTCATGAAAGCTGCTAAAAATACAGTATGTACATCCAAGGTAATAGGAAGGCCTCTAAGACGTGGGCTTTAGGAACTGCTAAGCAGTTAAAAATAAATCATAACAGTGTTGTACTTTTTTTTTTAGACAAGGTCTCTTTTGCCCAGGCTGGAGTGCAGTGACTGGCATGCTCATAGCTCACTACAACCACAAACTCTAGGCTCAAGCAATCCTCTCACCCCCACAGTAGCTGGGACTACAGACACACACTATCACGCCCTGCTAAATGTTTTGTTTGGTTTTGGTTTGGGGGTTTTTGTTTGTTTCTTTGGTTTTTAGTAGGGTCCAGGCCTTGGTATGTTGCCGAGGCTGACCTGGAAGTTCTAGGCTCAGGTAATTCTCCCACCTCTGCCCCAGAAAGTGCTGGGGTAAAAGAGTCATTCTACCAGACTGATGGTGTTGTACTTACATTCTCCCTCTTATGTTCATGTCACAGACACTTGCGCTATTGGTAGTCCATCAGGGGAGATAGCAAAGGAATTGAAACATTTGAATCACACAGTGTTTAATATTTAAATAAATATTTTACTCCATTCCCTAAATATTTATTATAAAGAGCAAACGCTCCAAAACAACCTAAATTGCCTATTATTTATCACGAATTCTGCTATTAGCCTAGAAGATGATCTACAGATGCATGAATTGGTTCTATTGGTAGGAAATAGGCCTTTTCCACTACAATTTCCTGTAGCCCCAAGCAGAAAGCACCAATTTGTGATTTTTCTAATACTCTCTGAATACTACTTACTAAAGATGCATGTTGGTTGAGGTAAATTCTGAGCACTAAGCTTTCTGAAATCCTAAATTTCAGAAGTTTAAGAAGATGAAGATTGCTGATGAAACTACATGAGGTAGAAACTATATTCATCATTCTAAACTTTTGAAATCCTCATCATCCTAAACTTCTGAAATTACCCCTGTGGGCCAGGCTGGCTTTTATTAAGGAGGTAGAGTCTAAAGTCACAGAAAACATAGTTACAAAAAGCTGATTCTGACTATCCCTTTTAAATCCTTCCCAGAGTCCACACTATTCCCTCACACAGATAAAGATCCTGCTCTATCTGTTCCCTCTACTTTTCATGTAATTTACTTCACTCTGAAAATGCACAATTCTCATTATGGCTAAGATTCAGAAGCAGGTGTGGGTGGGGAAATAAGTGTATAAATTTAAGGCAAATGACGCATATTATGTTTGTCTCAAATCCCTGCTTTGACATGAGAATTTTGGCAAGTTGTTTAAATTCTGAGTCTCTGTATCCTTATATGCAGAATCAGAATAGTTCTTACCTCATCAAATTATTCCAAAGATTAAATTAGATCAAGTATATATATAAGGTGGCCTACACACCACTGGCAACATAAAGCAATTTGCCTGATACACTTAAAAACAAACTGTGCATCTTCTATAACTCAGCTACATCTAACTTCCTCGTGCTCACCTTCTGCTGCTTCTGACTAACAAAATATCCTGTGTATCTTTAAGACGGCGTTCATGGTTGTGTGTTTATGGATTGTACACTGAGTTTCCATTTGGCTTCTTAATATAAATGCCTGATAAAATTTCTTTAAATACAATTACCTAATTGATTAAAAATAATTCTGAAACTTATCTTGGTGCAGCAGGAGGTGCTGGGATGTATTCATTTTTAAATTAAACTTTGAGAAGGTGTTTATCATTTCCAGAGACAAGCGGATAAAGGAGAATATTCAACTTTTGTTGACAACTCATCTTTTTGAAATGTTGACACAATTACTTGAAACCAACCCCCAATTCCCCCCATAAAGATGTATACATTGCTGTACTTATGTACACTAAGAGCTAACCCCGAGCAATTTAAAGAAGTTTCTAAGAAATTCTGAGTAAACTACAGATTGAAGTGACACAAAGCCTCCTGTCCTTCCAAATCCCTATATTAGTGAAAACAAGCATCCAAAGCTAGTAACAAAGATGCCAATTAAAAGAGGTATCTGTTACTAGAACAAAGAGTGATTTTCATTTTGTCCATAGTATGTGTAAGGAAAATATATTTTGCCTCTCTTCCTCAATACCACTGTTCAAAGAGAAAGACCTTCTTCTAACAAAAACTGCTTTTAATGTAAAATGTTACATGTGCCTAGAGCAAATTAACACACATTTCCTGGAGTGTAATGAGGTACATCACCAGCCGCAATATAAACAGATAAGTAAATTATTTTGAGGACGATGAGGCAATTGAAAAGCTTTGAGTGAGGTTAACATGTTTCACATTTTCCCTGATTCCCCCACTAAATCTTAAAAGTTGGGGCAGCAGACTACTTAAAAAAGAATCGTAAGAAAAGATCCCCATCCATATTTTTTTAATAGCATTTATGTATGAAGCACATTCAACTTTCAGCTCCCTCCAGAAAAAATTATTTATCTCCACATCCTTAATCACTTCCTGTTTCTAGCCACAAAGGTTGAGAAAACCTATCCTATTTGAGGCCAACTCCTTCATTAATGCCTTTGATTTCATCTGCCTTCTTCTAGAATCTTTTTCCAATAAAAATCCTCTTCTCTCTTTCGTCTTTAATATCTTCCTCTGTATCGACTCCTTTCTCCCAGACTATATATATGCTCAGTTCTGTCCCATTCTTAAAAGGAATTCATGTTGTTAAAGCTCCAGTTCTCTCCTTTTTTTCTTCCCATCTAGTCAAACTTCTTTAAAGAAAGGACTGTAATCAGCGTCTCTGGTTTCTCATTTCTCTTTTATATTTCAGTGCAAAACAGACAGGTTCTAAACCCCACCTGCCTTGCTGAACTTGTTTCCAAGAGGGCGACCAGTGGTCTCAGTGTAGCCAAACCCAATGTGTTGGTACCAGGAAACTTCATCTTGTGTTCTCTCTGGGGCATCTGATATTATGACTCTTCCTCTTCACCACATTGACATTTGAGCTTCTCAGACATTTCACAATGTAAATTTATTTGCAGCCATCTCAAAATCAACACTTTCAAATCTGAACCTATCACCTTTCCTCAAACCTGTCCTATCTCCTGTATTTCACAACACCATAAAAGATACCACCATCCCATCCTGCAAACATCAAAGTTAGAAACGTCACAGCAGTCCTGGGCTTCTTTTCATGATACTCTTCATCTGAGTACCAAATGATCACATGACGTATTTGGTATTCATTGTATTCTGTAAAATTTTCTGAACTTTTCCCCGTTTCTGTTTTACTATTCTCAGGCCTTAATCATATTTTATTTCTAATTGTGTTCTCTCAAAACAACCTTAACCACAGTCTGCACTCTGCTGCTAGATTGATCCACATGAACTGCCACACGCCAAAATCTTCAGTGGGTCAGGAGGAGGTTCATATTCCTTGGAAATATACCACTTAAAAATACAGCATTGGCCGGGCGCGGTGGCTCACGCCTGTAATCCCAGCACTTTGGGAGGCCGAGGCGGGTGGATCATGAGGTGAGGAGATCGAGACCATCCTGGCTAACAAGGTGAAACCCCGTCTCTACTAAAAATACAAAAAATTAGCCGGGCGCGGTGGCGGGCGCCTGTAGTCCCAGCTACTCGGGAGGCTGAGGCAGGAGAATGGCGTGAACCCGGGAAGCGGAGCTTGCAGTGAGCCGAGATTGCACCACTGCAGTCCGCAGTCCGGCCTGGGCGACAGAGCGAGACTCCGTCTCAAAAAAAAAAAAAAAAAAAAATACAGCATTACAGCTGACTTACAAACGTTATCTAATTTCCGTTTTCAATTTTTCTTCAAACGCCATGAGTCGTTGAAAAAGTATCTTTTAGTAACTTCTAGATATTTTGTAACTTTTTAGTTGCTTATAACTGGATTTAACTTAATTGTATTTAATGTGTAATTATTTGCATGCATATATATGCAATTATATGCACACATATAGGCATATATGTTATATATCCTTATCCTTATATCTAACTGTGGATTTTAATTTAATTGCACTTTATTCGGAGAATGAAGTTTGCATTATTCAAATTTTTGAAATATTTTAGGGTAATTTTTACATCAGAATGTGAACAATTTTGATCTAGATTAGTGTGCCATGGCTATTTTCCAATGGCTGGGTTTAATATTATATTATTATATTTATGTTCATAGCATATGAACATTTTTCCTTGTTTTATATGTATGGAGGCTATGTAATTATAATTAGTAGAATACAGTTCAGAATTTTTATACATATATTTGCTCAGTTTAGCTTTTTATCATTTTATTTATGGTAGTGCTTTTTGCCTTATTGTCCATCTTTCTGATATTAATCCATTCATACCATCTTTCTTTAAGCTGCATTTTACCTAATATATTTTTCCTACCCTTTGACTTTCAATCCTTCTTTTTCTTTATATATTCATATATATATGAAAATACCATATGACTACATTTTCTCAATATGTAAGAGGTGAAAATCTGTCTTTTTTTTAGAGACTGTATGTACATTAAGTGTGAGTTTATGCCTTTCTTCTTATTTTGCGCTTTCCACTTTTCCCCTTTTTCCAATTTGATTCTCTTTCTTTTCTTACTTTCTTGCCTTCTTTGGCAAGTATTGCATTTGTAATTTTATTTTCTCATTCTTTTTCCCTCTACTTGTTGATAAATGACATGCTTTATGTATCATTTTATTGAGGCATATTTACATACATTGAATAGCACAGATTTTAAGTGTATAATTTGATTATTTTGAAAATATACCTGCATAATCTATAATCCATCAATAAATAGAACATTTCCAGAAAGATCTCTTGTGCACTTTTCAGTCAGTGCCAATCACCATTTAATGAAACATCTCTCATCTGACTGCTATCAGAACAAGTTAGTTTTATCTGTAAAAGAGCTTTATATAGGTCAAGTCTACAGTATATTCTCTTTTATATTGGTCTTCTTTCACTCAACATAATGTTTTCAAAATTCACTCATGTTGTGTATATCAGTTATTTGTTACTTAAATTCATGGGTAGTATTCCATTGTAGGAATGTACTTTAGTGCTTGATTTTTGTTTTTGTTTTATTAAAAGACATTTTCCTATTCATGGCCATCAGGATTATTTCCAGTTTGGGGCTATTACGAACAAAACTGCTATAAACAGGTTAAATGCTCTTTCTTTCAAATCCAAGATTTTTATTTCTTTTAGATAAATATCTAGTAATAAAGTTATTGGGTCATAGGGTAGATGTATATTTAACCGTTTAAGAAAATGTCAATAATCCTCCAACGTGGCTGAATTCCTATTTAAAATGCATTCTTAACTTAAATTCAAAGGAGAGTCAATATATTTTACTGTCCTCTCCAACGAAACAAGAGTCATAAAATGCATTAACTATGATCACTCTTCTATCAATGTATAAGCTTTTCTAGTTCAGCATTTTGTTTTTATTCTTTTCCTCCTTACAAACGTAGGAATTATTATTGTTTTACACAATGTTGTTTCAAAGTTACCCACGTATTTGCCAGTATCTTTGTCCAACCTTCATTCTGGTATTGACCACAAATCTCTCTGAGACTAATTCCTACCTTAGAATGTCATTCTGTATCTGCTTGTTCCCTAATTCTTAAAAGATAACGTTTCTGGATATTGAACTCTCTTTTTCCAACTTTATTTAGGTATACTTGACAAACAGATATTGCATATATTTAAAATGTACAACATAATGTTTTCATATGTGTATACATTGTGAAATGATTGCCACAACCAAGCTAATTAACATATCCATCACTCACACAATTACCTCTGTGTGTGTGTGTGTGTGTGTGTGTGTGTGTGTGTGTAATGAGTACATTTAGGATCTATTCTGCTAGCAAATTTTAAGTACACAGCACAGTATTCTTAACTATAATTACTTTCTCTCAGAATTTCTAAGATATTTCACTCTTCCAGTTACTACTGGTATTATTAAGGAGCAATTATGAAACTAATTGTGATGAGATTGGAGGTGATTTCTGTTTTCTCTCTGGATACTTTTAAGATAACTATCTCAGCAGGGCACAGTGGCTCACGCCTGTAATCCCAGCACTTTGGGAGGCCGAGGCGGGCGGATCATAAGGTCAAGAGATCGAGACCATCCTAGCCAACATGGTGAAATCCCGTCTCTACTAAAAACACAAAAATTAGCTGGGCTTGGTGGCGCACGCCTGTAGTCCCAGCTACTCGGGGGGCTGAGGCAGGAGAATTGCTTGAACCCAGGAAGTGGAGGTTGCAGTGAGCCGAGATTGGGCCACTGCACTCCAGCCTGGTGACGGAGCAAGACTGTGTCTCTAAATAAATAAATAAATAAATAAATAAAATAACAATCTCTTTTTTACTTTGTGCAATACAGTATCAATGTTGATGTCTAAGCTGGATTCTCTTTTATTAATCATTGAGATTTAGGGGGCGTCCTAGGTTTCTGATTGCTGTTTCACCTCAAATATTCCATCTCCCCATTCTCACTCTTAAATCATTCTGAAACTCTGAAAAGACATGTGTTGCAACTTTTAACTCTCTCTTCTCTGATTTTTAAATACTCTTTTATATTTTCACATCTTTGCAACCTAAATAATTTTTTAAATGTATTTTCCTGTCTTCAAGCTCTCTATTAAACTCTGCTGCTTATTCTATGCATCGTCTTAATGTTCTATTAAATTTATTATATATATATATATATATATACACTTAAAATATTCTAGATATAGAGATTTATATGTCATTGCACTAGGCCTGCACTCCAGAGTGAGGCAGAAACCCCTTACTGAAAAGGACTGGAAACAATGGCTTTAGTATGCACTTCTGGCAGTATTTTCTTCCATCCTGTTTATAAGCCCTGCAGGATTCTTGCTTTCATGTCAGATCAGCAATGCATTTATAAGGATGTTTTAAATACCTTATCAAACATTGTAGTTGTTTCATTTGGATGAACAATATCTAGTCTGCCATATTGCCATAAATGAAATCCTAGTTTTCTTCACAAGTTAGCTCTCTCATATATCAAAGGTCAGTGAAGTCATCATGCTTCCTTCCAGAAATCTTTCCTCTCTGTACAGATTGAGAACAGTTACTGGACTCCATAGTAAAGTCTGCCATTTTATACTTAAATTAATTCCTTTTGGGGCCTTGAGCACCATTAGGTTGTTGGGCCCCTTGAAAAGGAACCATGACATAGATATGGTCATCAATGGCATCACAGATTATGTTAGGGGATCATTAATCTTTCCAAACTTAACAGCTTTTAAAATCCCCTCATTCACAGACCTGCAAAGTCTTGACTCTTTCTCCCCTTCAAGACAACCTTTGTACAGCTGTTTCAGTCCCAGATTCTAGTGCCTTTAGTTTTTAACCTGAAATATTTCTATGTGGTTATCTTAACATGAAATTGTACAAGTCTATTTAGAAACATAAAAGCCCATTGATGTCTCACATCTGGACAAGGCTTTATATTTATCTAGGTATAACATATGGTCTTGAGCCAATTCTTATTTTTAGTCAAGGTCCTTATTGCCACTCATTACTCCTTATTTTTTTAGTCTCTAATAGACCCAAACTTAATTCAGAGATGGCATTAATACTATTCCTTATTGCACTAATGCATTAGGTACTCATGTTTCCTGAAATATTTGCCAATTTTTATTATAGGATGGGTGTGAGGATTAGAATGAATAAAATGATAAAAACACAAATGAGAATTTCTGACATATAATGAATGTTCAACACAAAATAGGACTACTATAATAATTGCTACTATTAAGGACATATTAAACAAATAAATTATGATTAATATAACTTTTATTATATTATTAAAAGATCACAGGATTGAGGCTCTAGTGGAAAGTTTTAAAATTCCCCCACGAAACAGCATAGCTGTTATTATCTCATAGAAATAAATTAATCTTAAAAAACTCCAGTCAGAGGCTGGGTGTGGTGGCTAACACCTGTAATTCCAGCACTGTGGGAGGCTAAGGGGAGGCAGATCACCTGAGGTCAGGAGTTCGAGACCAGCCTGGCCAACATGGTGAAACCCCATCTCTACTAAAAATACAAAAATTAGCTGGGTGTGGTGGCACGTGCTTGTAATCCCAGCTACTCAGGAAGCTGAGGTAGGAGAATTGCTTGAACCCAGGAGGCAGAGATTGCAATGAGCTGAGACCACACCGCTGCACTCCAGCCTGGGAGACAGAGTGAGATTCCATCTCAAAAAAAAAAAAAAAAAAAAAAAGTCCAGTCAGAGAGGCATCACACAACCTCACTTCAAATCTTCAAATTATACTACAAAGCTACAGTAACTAAAACAGCATAATATTGTCATTAAAAACAAACACAAAGACCATGAAACACAATAGATAACCCAGAAAAATTCCATACATTTACAATTAACTCATTTTCAGCAAAGGTGCCAAGAGCATATATTGGGGAAAAGGCAGTCACTTCAATAAAAGATTCTGGGGAAACTGAATGTTTATATACAGAAGAATGAAATTAGACTCGTATCTTTCACCATACACAAAAATAAAATCAAAATGGACTAAAGACTTAGATTGAAGACATGAAACTATGAAACTACTAGAAGAAAACATTGGTAAAATGCTTCAGGACAGTGGTCTGAATGTGTCTGGTCAAAGACTTATTGAGTAAGACCTCAAAACCACGGGCAACCAAAGCAAAAATTGACAAATGGGATCACATCAAGTTAAAAACAAACAAACAAACCACAAAAACAAAAACAAAAAAAACCCAAACTTCTGCATAAAAGAATCAACAAATTGAAGAGATAATCTACAAAATGGGAGAAAATATTTTTAAACAATTCCTCTGGCAAGGGATTTAATAACAGAATATATAAAAAACTCAAAAAGCTCAGAAGCAAAAAAATGAAATAATGCAACTTAAAAATAAGCAAAAGACCTGAATAAACATTTCTCAAAAGAAGACTTACAAATGGCCAACAGATATATGAAAAAAAATGTTTAACATCACTAATCATCGGGGAAATGCAAATCAAAACCACTATGAGATATAATCTCACCTCAGTTAAAATGGTTATTGTCAAAAAGACAGAAAATAACAAAATTGCTGTAAGGATGCTGAGACAGGAGAATGTTAATACACTGTTGGTGGGAATGTAAGTTAGTATAGCCACTATGGAAAAAAGGATGGAGATTCTGCAAAAAAAATAAGTAAATAACTAAAAATAGAACTACCATATGATCCAGCAATCCCACTGGATATATACTCAAACAAAAAAAAATCTTTGTATCAAAGAGATCTGTATTCACATGTTTATTGCAGCACTATTCACAATATCCAAAATATGGAATCAACCTAAATGTCCATCAGTTCATGAATGAATACAGAAAATGGGGTATATATGCACAATGGAATAGTATTCAGATATGAAAAAAAGAATGAAATCATGTCATTTTTGGCAACATGGATGGAACAGGAGGTCACTATGTTAAGCATAGAAAGACAAATATTTCATGTTTTCACTCATAATATAGGAGCTAATAAAGTGGGTCTCATGAAGGTAAAGAGTTGAATGGTGGTTACCAGAGGCTGCACTGAGCCTCTGATTTGATTATTACATGTTGTATACCTGTATCCAAATATCATATATACCCCAAAAATGTGTACAACTATTATACAGCAATTTAAAAAATAAATATATTTTTAAAAACCTCCCATCAAGAACGTAGTTAAACAAAAATCTGATATGGGGAAAACTTGCTTGCACTACCCTGTCTCCTTTCTACTTTCTCACTAAACATTGGTGCATATTGACCCTTCATAAATGCCCTGTGTTTCCCACTCTATTGAGCCCATGGCTTCTGAATTGAAAATAAATGAGGTATTCGCTTATACAGAGTTATGGAATAATTTTATTATTATCCCACACCTTACAGTATTTTTATATAAGAGACAATCCTTAATCCAATTCTTAATCCAGTGAAATGAATCCATATTATCACATTACAAACCTGGGTTGTGGCACTAGGCAGACCTGATAAGCATCACAATTCTTTTAATTACTGAGAGTGACCTTGGGGATGTTTCTTAATCTCTCCACTCCAGAGTGCTCAACTGTGAGTTGGAGAAAAAATATCTAAATCATACGGTTGGTGGGAAGATTAAAATGGATAAAGATAGCAAAGCACATATTAGAATCCTTGGCATATAACAAATATTCAACACAAAATAGGGGCTTTTACTGTTATTATTATTATTATTATTGATGTATTAAGTAATGATCATTGCTATAATTGTATTTTTAGGGAAATCTTACGTCTGGGGTTCCATTTGAGCTACAAGTTTTAAACCATCTATGCATTGCTCTGGCCTAGTCCTCTCCTTCCTGAGATTGCACAGGTTAAATCCACATCAGAATGGTTAATGGTCACACCAGGAACCCCTGTGACAGCTATAACCCCATTCTCAAGGATTTATTAAAGACAATCAACTTAGCAAAAAGCATCTAAAAATTCGAGAGCTAGGGAAAAATTGATTTAATAGACCAAGTAGATTTTTATTAGAACAGCTCTTCCAGCCAAAAACTAGGTTGTAGGGAAGAGGGGTGTGGAGAAAAACAAATTAAAAATTGTTTAGGCAAGCCGAGTGTGTGGTGGACAATGCCTGTAATCTCAGCACTTTGGGAGGCCAAGGATCACTTGAGGTCAGGAGTTCGAGACCAGCCTAGCCAACATGGTGAACTCCCGTCTCTACTAAAAATGCAAAAATTAGCTGGGCATGGTGACAGGTACCTGTAATCCCAGCTACTCAGGAGGCTGAGGCAAGAGAACTGCTTGAACCTGGGAGGCACAGGTTGCATTGACCAAGATCACATGCACCATTGCACTCCAGCCTGGGTGACAGAGTGAGACTCTGTCTCAAAACAAAACAAAAA
This sequence comes from Homo sapiens, assembly GCF_000001405.40. Classification (NCBI taxonomy): domain Eukaryota; kingdom Metazoa; phylum Chordata; class Mammalia; order Primates; family Hominidae; genus Homo; species Homo sapiens. The sequence continues at coordinate 105,428,714 of NC_000011.10, forward strand.
CAAAAATTATTGAGGCAGAGATTCCTCAGCTAATCAACATCTACCTTAGAGAAAAATGAGTCATGGCTAATTCTATTGTGTAGTCACATTGTTGATGCACGTTTGCCATTACAGTTTATTTTCATTCCATCTGCCCCTTCTTCACTCAGTGAGCAGTGTTAAACATAAGCTGGCTACCACTCTCTGCAGCACTTCCCTCAGGTTTATTTTAAACCTTTAGAACTGCCTTCCAGCCACTTCTCTTTCCTCACCTGCTTTCATTTAATTTAGTACTTGCCTCCTCCTGGATTATGCATCTTATTTCTGTCTCACATTTAAATGGCTGTCTGATGAAAAACCCTCACTACTTCTGCCTCCTTCATTTACATTTACATCTCTGTCCATTACCTTTCTTTCAGTATAGGATATAAGCTCCAGTGGCCTTCAACTTAATTGTTTCTCCTTCTTTTGCGTCTTTTTAGACATTTCTCCAATTTCTATGTTAAAACTAATTTCTTTTTGTGCCATCTCCCTGAGGAATTCCATTTGTAATCAAAATCTTACCCATAAACTCCATGCATATAATGGCCAAATCAACTCCACACCTATTCTTTGGCGCTGACTTCAGTCATTCAGCTCCAGTCATGCATTGGTTTCATGTCAAAACTAATATTACCTTTCAAACCTGATGTTATTGTATTTAACTGTAGGTCCATTGCTCTCCCAACATTATTGTATGATGCAGTGTGCAGAGTTATTATGACACGCACTGGAAAAATAGGCTCTGACATTTATCAACCTTGTCACTAGATAAGGTCTGATTTACTGTAATTAAGGTTAGGCTGTACTGAAAATGTATTTTTTAAAAATAGGAGATATACTTAACTCCACTATTCATCCCAAACATCCAGAGCACTGCTGCACAGTCATCAATGTGAATTTAGGTGTTTTAAGCTACTGTGAATATAAAACTGAAAAAGATTTATGGGCAATAAAAGGAAATGTGCTCGTAATTCACAACTGGCCTGTGAGACCCTGGCTCTGCTTTGAAGCCACCAAGACAGTTCATTAGTTTCACTAGACAGCCCTGGAATTGAAACAGAATGGTCGGGCATCACTAATGTGATTAAGGCTCCTGATTTCACAGTTAAAAAAAAATAAATTAGTTGACCTAAATGTGATTTCCGAGTTTTCCTTGTCTTTGCATCAGAGGTCAATAACCAGTTGTTGGCAAGAAAAATGATAACCTGGAAATATTAGCAGTGTCTGAGGTTAGAATTCCAAGGAAAGTTTTGTGCGCTTATTCTTCTTTCATATTGAAAATGAAAATCCCACTGGCCCATTGAAAATAATTTTCTGGAATGATAAAATAACTCTAATTATTTTGTAAATGCAATCAATGTTCATTTTTATACAATGAATCATCATATACTCTCAATATTTTTTGAATGTTTGATGTAGCAACCAAATGCAATTTAATGAACTTGCATAAATTAAATTCCTACCACATATTTCACAACACTGACATGTTTAATACATAAAATCACTTGGGTTTCACTAACCATATTAATTTTATTTTTAAGGTTATACAATATTCTATTTCTATTAATTTCTATTAATTGATTTTAATTAATTTTCAATCACCAGAATTATGAATACTGAAAGCAATATATATGTCCTTGCTGTTAATTAATTTTTTATTTTTTAGGACACAGATAAGATTAGATTTCCATAGGTTACCAGAGTATTTATCAGTAACTTGTTGATAATCTATACTTCCCCCATCCTCTCCATCCCCCCAAAATCTGTCAGCCTCCGAGAATCTGAATAGCATTGTATAAACTACTCCTATTTGTAGGTTGTGGAACATGTTACAACAAACTCTCACAGAGGGAAAATTAATTTTATAAACCCAATGAAAGCCTAAAAATTATTTTAGTTTCTTATTTGATGTATTTTCTATAATGTTAATGTAAATGACAAAATCACTCAATTCATTTTAATTGCCAGGGAAAAAACGTAAGCCTCTGTGGAGGAGTATAGAGTTGGCTGAGAGACAAAACAGAGTGAGTGAGCTGAGTGCACTCACACAGCAGTCAGTGGCAGGGGGTAATGAGAACCTAAGACTCCAGAATTCTAGTTCAGTTAATTTCAGCTCCTTTGTCCTTTCCTGTCTTCTTTTTTAATATACCTTTGGCATTCGCATATTTAATATTTTCACTTTTGATCCTTTGAAAACAACCATGACATGCAGTAATTTGTAGTTTTGTTTTGATTTTTGTTTTGTTTTGAGACAGGATTTGAATTGACCATGTGGTGGACAATTGCTATTCATGTAGAGGCCACCATCTAGTGAAGGAAACCCCTGGAAGCATGTGAGTCCAGGCAGCCTCCAGCACCTGCCACTTTGTAAATCTCCGGTCTTTTCTACTAATCATTTCTCATTCAGCTGCCTTCAGAAAAAACCTTGTTCTAGTTTTTTCTACTATTGGATCCTGAAAAAAAACATAAAATTATAACAGTAATAAAAGTGATAAGAACAATAGAAAGAAAAATATTTTCTAAAATACAAATATAAATTTGGGAACAATTAAAAATTAATTTGGCTCAATTACACATTGCTGATGGGAATGTAAAATGATGGAACTACCAAGAAAAACAGTTTTAGTTTCTATAAAACTATAAAACAGTTTTAGTTTTATAAAAACTAAACATTCAAATTGCTGTACTACCCAACAATGGCACTCTCAGGAGTTTATTCCAAAGAAATGAAACCATATGGTCACACAAAAACCTGTACATAAATTTACATAGCAGTTTTTTTATTAGTCAAAAGCTAGGCACAGCCCAGATGTACTTCAACATGAATGACTGAACAAAGAGTGATACATACAAGCTATGGAATAGTACTCAGAAATAAGAAAGAATGAACTATTGATACCCACAAAGACTTGGATGTGTCTCCAGAGAATTGTGCTAATTGAAAACACCCAGTTTCCAGAAGTTATATACCGTATGACAGCATTTATATTACAGGTTTGAAATGATAAAATTTTAGGAGTGGAGAACAGATTAGTGGTTGCCAGATGTCAGGGATAAGGGTGAGGTGGCAGACAGAAGGAGATGATATGTGTATAAAAGCGCAACACAAAGGGTCCTTGTGGTGATGGAACTGTCAGTATCTTAACTGTGTAGAAGACACAAGAACCCATGTGTGATTAAAATTTACATAGAATTAAACACACATACATACACAAATGAATACAAGTAAAATTAGGAAAATCTGAATAAAATTAGTAGATTATATCAATGTCAAAATATAGGCCATGGAATTGGATTATAATTTTGCAAAGTGTTATCATTGGGGGAAAAACATACACACACACACACACACACACACACATATATAAATAGTATATGTAACAATGCTATCTACCTAAATAATTAAGAAGCCATTTCTCAAATTGTTTTAATGATATCTCTAGCTAGGACTGATATAGTTTGGACTGATATATTTGTCTCCACCTAAATCTCGTGCTGAAATGTAATCCGCAGTGTTGGAGGTGGGGCCTGCTGGGAGGGATTTGGATCATGGCAGTGAATCCCTCATGACTTGCTTGAGCTATCTCCTTGATGATAAGTGAGCTGTTGCTCTGAGTTCACATAGGATCTGGTTGTGTAAAAATGTGTACCTGCCCTTCCCCTAATGCTTTTGTTCTTGCCATGTGAGATGCCTGCTCCCCCTTTGCCATGAGTAAAAGCTTCCTAATGCCTCACCAGAAGCTGAGAGGATTCTGATGCCATGCTTCCTGTATAGACTGCTGAACTATGAAATAATTAAACCTTTTTCTTTATAAATTACGCAGTTTAAGATATTTCAGATATTTCTTTACAGCAATGCAAGAACAGGCTAACACAACAGCAAAAATTATTCAGCTAATAGAAGCTAAAGTGTAAATTAATGTTTAAAAGGCCATTTAATTTATGGGTTGAGGATCTGCATGATGAACTCTTGATTTTTTTCCTACCAACATTTGTTTTGGGAGAAAGCCAGAAACCTGTACAAATAATACTGAATGTGAAGAGTAAAAATTAGAGATGGTTTCAGGAAGCATTCCTCAGAAAACTTTTAATAACAAATGTATTTTAGGTTCTGATAATTCAAAATCATGACCGTCAGGAGCTAGACAGGCTATATCTGTATGACTGTACTAGGGAGTGCTGGTTGAGTATCAGCCAAAATTCATGTTTTCAAGTCCATAGATAGGAAGCAATCAACCTAATGACCAAGAAGAATCTACCATACAGAGGAGGCTTAAATCAGACCAAGCTTGTACATAGACACACTATAGACAGATGTGACAGAGGACCTCCACTTTTTCCCCACTTATTCAGCCTTGCCTTTTATTTTCCTAACAGAAGGACATCTTAAACCACTTGGCATGTCTTGCAAAAATGTTTCATCTCTCCAAAGGGAAAATTCCCCTTACATACTAGAAAACTATTACTCCATAATATATCAAAGAAGAAGAAAAAAACTGTTATGATGTGTACGTATTAGAAACTTTGAGAGATGGCAATGCAATTAAAGATTTGTGGTTTCCAAGAAATTATGCAAACTAAAGAATCTGAATGTGGTGAATCCGAATCTTCCCCACTTTAGATCAACCCCTGGAAAAAATTTATCTACTGGAAATGAGAAATAGACTAGCTTATGTCTCCCAAGCCTCACCTAAGAAAATATAGGATTAAAAAAGGACATATTCTTTTGGCATAAAGTACAAAAGACATGTCAGCAGAGGTCGTAAATCTTTATATAAAACTAGAAATAGAGTTACTGATAGGGAATAAACTCTCTTGGTTGAAGACATCTTTTTTTTTAAATACTCTAGCTCAAAAATTATATTTATATACATATTAGTCTGTCTTCATGCTGCTATAAAGAACAGCCTGAGACTGGGTAATTTATAAAGGAAAGATGTTTAATTGACACAATTCAACAAGGCTCAGGAGGCCTCAGGAAGCTTATAATCATGGCAGAAGGTGAAGCGGAAGCAAGGCACTTTCTTCACAGGTGGCAGGAAGCACTGAGTGAAGGGGGAGGAACCCTTTATAAAACCATCAGATCTCGTGAGAACTCACTATCAAGAGAACAGCATGGAGGAAACCACTCCTATGATTTAATTACTTCTACTTGGTCTCTCCCTTGACATGTGGGGATTATGGGGATTATGGGGATTACAATTCAAGATGAGATTTGGGTGAGGACACAAAGGCTAACCGTATCAACATAATACATATCTTTTGAAATTGTTTATAATTAACAAATTGAAAATACAGACAATAGACTTAAAAATACATTTCCAACAGAAATGTGTGACTACATGTTCACATAAAGATATCAATAGTGTATGTACAACAACTGTGAACAATTGACCAGAAAAAATACTTTACAAGATTAGGCAATAAACAACTTTGGAGGATAAAGCAAGGTTTGTGTTCATTAGTAACCAATAAACTACAAATAAACAGCAATAAAATAAGAGATGACCATGAACTCTGTGAACTCTTTGTGATGGGAATCTTCCTGCAGAGTTGGTTCAAATTGGTTCAAGCTTTTGGTGATGCAATTTGGCAATATATCTGAATTGTTATGTATGTTATTTCCTTCAGTCTCAAAGTTCATCTATTAGCACCCCAACTCGGAAAACTAAAAATTGAGCACATTAGCTAGCAATATTTGACTGGAGTCTTTAGTTAATAGTATTGCATTACTGTTTATTTCCTGGTTTTGATATTGGCACTGTGGTTATATACAATGTTACATACAATTAGAGAAAGCTGGATGAAGGGCATAAGGGAATTCTCTGTATAATATTTCCAATTTTTCTGCAAGTCTAATTATTCCAAAATAAAAAGTTAAAAAATAACAAAACAAAATATTAGAACAAGAAAGTTAAAAAAAAAACACATGGCAAATCAATGTAGATACAGATTCTGTTCCTTAAATACTAAACTTTATTGCTAATACAATAAAATATGGACAGAGGCAAAATCATCCTTATTTGCAGACAAATTTCTCCCTATAAAGACAAAGATAACCGAAATTTTGTTATAATTGAAAGGAGAAGGTCTAGATGTAAAATGAACAACCCACATCAAGAGCTTTCTTGTACACCAGTAATAAATTGGAGGATTATGAGAAAAGATCTGATTCACATTGGAAACAGATTAAAATGTCTATGAATAACCTTAACAAGAAATTTTGAGTGCACATCTTTATACAGTGGGCATTCCATATCTGCAGGTTTCACATCTGTGGAGTCAACCAACCACAGATCAAAAATGTCCAAAAAAGAATAAAAAATAACAGTACAACAGTAAAACATAAGACAAACTTAAAAATACAGTATAACAACTATTTACATAGCATGTACATTGTATTAGCTATTTCAGTAATCTAAAAATGATGTAAAGCCCAGTATGTGAGAGGATGTGCATAGATTATATGCACATACTACACCATTTTATACAAAGGTCTTGGACATCTGCAAATTTTATCAGGGTCCAAGAACCAGTCCCCTAGGGAAAACTATACTGGCCTCAATATTTTGTCTTTCTTTTATTTTGTGGAAGAGTTTGTGTAATAACAGCATAAATTCTTCAAAAATTGGTAGAAATATTTAGTGAAATAATCTGAGCCTAAAGATTTTTAGTTGTTTGTTTTATTTTTGTTTTTGCTTTTTACGTGAGCGAAGTTTTCTGACTATACATTCAATTTATTTAACGTCTATAGGAATATCTATAATCTATTTTATCTTGGTTCAAATTTTGGGCATTTGTAATTTTAAGGAATCAGTTCATTTATCCTAAGTTGTTGAATTTATAAGCTTCAATTCGTTCATAGTATTCCCTTATTAGCCTCTTTCAATTGCACTGGAATTTATAGTGATAAACCTGTGTAATTGAAGGGATAATAATTTGTGTTATTTATCTTTATTTTTTGCAGTCTTGCCAGAGGTCTATCCATTTTATCGAATTTTTTAAATAACCAGCCTTTAGTTTTATGAATTTTATTGGTGGTTTTTCTGTTTTCAATCTTATTGACTTATGTTTTTATCTTTATTTTTTCCTTCCTTGTGATTTTTCCAGGTTTACTTTGATCTTCTTTACTATTCTATGAAGTAGGAACATACATTGTTAATTTGAGGTCTTTTTTTTTTTCCTAGTGTAAGCTAGTAATTTGTAAGCAATAAATAGATGCCTCTCACACTGTTTAGTTGGAGCCCAAATATTTTGATATGTGGTCATATATTTCATTTAGTTCTATGTTTTTTAAAAAATTATTTGATATGTGAATTATTTGGACGTGTATTGTTTAATTTCTATATGTGTTGAGATTTTCATTTGTCTTTATGCTATTCTCATTTCATTCCATTATGGTGACAGAATATGCTGAGTTAGGTCAACTTAAAAAATTTTTTTTCAAATTTTTTTTATGGCTGAGGATATGGTCTGAGTAAATGTTTCATGAGCACTTGAAAACAGTGTATTCTGCTCTCATTGGTTGAGTGTTGTTTGAGTGTTTAGGTCAGTTAGATCCTGTTGATTGACTGGTTATTCAGATCATTTATATCCTTGATGATTGTCTGTTTGCTTTATACATGTTTAGGATTACTTTGTTTTCTGAGTGGATTGAGTCTTTCATCATTATGCAATATTCCTTGGTTTCTAGTAATTTTCTTTGCGTAGAAGTCTATTTGATCTGATATTAATATACACACTACTGATATTTTTAAAATTAATTTTGTTATGGTATATTTTCCATTCATTTACTTTCAAACTATCTATGCCATTGAATTTGAATCAAGTTTATTAGAAGTATATAATTTTGTTATGTGTATTTTATCTTCCAATCTTCTCTTTTATGTGGCACATTTAAATCATTTTTAATCACAGAAAATATTAATATATGTGTCTATTTCCCCTTTATTTCATTTACTCCACATAGAGGTTATGATGGGCAATTCTTTTTTCGGCAATTCTTTTTTCAGCAATTGGAAAACATTGTGCAACTTCCTTCTGGCCTCCATGATTTCAGATAAGAAATCTGCCGTCATTTGAATTGGTGTTCCCCTAGAGCTAATGCATTATTTCTCCCTGGCAACTTTCAAGACTTTTTTTCTTTGACTTTGGTTTTCAGAAGTTTAATTATGATGTGTCTAGAGGTTAATTTTTGGGGGAAAATTATCCTACTAGGGTTTTAACTTCTTCTTGAATCTATGGTTTTATATATTTTGCCAATTATGGGAAGTTTTCAAACATTGTTCATTAAAATATTCTTTAGTCTCAAGCTTTTTATCATCTTTTTCAACTAAAATGATATGAATATTGCCTCTTTTGTTACTGTGTCACAAGTGTCTAAGAATCTGTTCATTTATATTTTGGTTCAAATTAGGTACATCTATTTGATCGATCCTTAAGTTTGCTTATTCTCCCTCTGTCACTCAATTATTGAGCCCATTCAGCAAGTTTTTATTAATTTCTATTGTATCTTTCAATTTTATAATTTCCATTGTTCTTTATTTTAGTTTCATTTTGTTTGCTGAGATCCTCTATTTTTTATATTATAGTAATTTTTAACTATTTATTGGACTATTTTTATGGCAGTTACTTGAAAATATTTTTCACATTCTTTCAATATCTTTATGTCAGTATCAATTGATTGTCTTTTCTCACTTAAGTTATGATTTTCCTGATTCTTGGTATAATTTCTCTTTTTTTATCCTATATATTAAAGCTATTATGTTAGAAAACACTTAGCCCCATTCATTTTTATTCAGTTTTTTTTTTAATTTCAGAAATGATTTAAGACCTTGCCAGGACTCATAAAACCTACACATCTGAATTAAAATTTATTGGTTTTGCAGCATTCCAACTATAGCAGAGCAGATAGTTCACATTTAAAAAAAAAAAAGTGAGGACTATCTCTCTGTTAGAGGCTCTTTCCCAGTAACTTTGGAGAAGAGTCATATTTTGCTATGAGATACTGTATTTTGCTATAAAAAATTATATAAACTCTAAAAGTATGAACAAGTTAGTTGTTATTTTCAAGATATAAATAAAAATGCTTTTCTCACATTATTTATATACGCACAACAGCAACCCAAATTTCAAAGCAAGAAATGTCAAGACAAAACAATATGAAGAGAGGAAATTTTAATACATTGATACTTTGTTCATCTCACAGTTACAAATACAGTGATATCTTCAAGACAAACGCCATTTATAAATATTGGTAAAATTTTTATAGATGGGCTGTTAAAGCATCCATTTTGAGAGATGCTGATTGCTCACTGAGGAGTAAAATAATATTTTGATTTTATTTCCAAATATAACCTCCATTTTGATAAACATTAATCAAAAACCTAATGTTGCTCACATCGAGCATATTTTCTCATTGTTATTTTTCATGGATGCACTTGAAATGGTGCAGCATCTGAGTAAGATAAGAGTGATCTGCTATGTTTAAAGGTAAGCAATTTGACATTGGAGAAAACAATTTCACACCTGTAAAGAGTTCCTTCTTTGAAAAGGCATGAGTAAACTCCTGAACAAGATTTTTTTTTATATTTATTCATTCATTAAACAGTTACTCAGTGTAAACTCCATGCAGAATACTCCTTTAGGTGAACAAAGCAGGCAAAGTTCACTTCTCTTATATAGTTTACACATTTTCTAGATAGAGACAGATATTGAATAAGCAATAGGAGAATAGCTAGTAAAAAATGTTAAAATAAAAATAATTTGAGGCAATGTCATAGGACAGACTGAGGAGGGGAAAGTCTTTAAGGATGTCAGGAAAGGGCAGAATCTTTTGAAGAAGTGGGATTTTGCCCAGATCTAAAGGTCAAAGCATTGGGTAATTTATTAAACTACTCTTACTCTTATTATCCCCGTATGCAGTCTTACTATCCACATATCCAGGAAGAAAATAAAAGTAACTACCTTGCTTGATTATTGGAAGGTTCAAATGCAACTCAAATAAAGGATCTGAATGTTCACTAAATAAGACAAATTTTTAACTTTATTGTTAAAATTAATTTTTTTTACTTTTGGTCTCAGCTCTTCATCTCTAAAATAAAATCAGTCAAGAAAGTGATTCATTCTGAATTTCATTTTAGTGCAAACAAACTTGAACAACATGTACCACATTTAAAGCATGATGACAACACAAGATTTTTTTGTCTTTATTCTCATAGATTAATGACTAGGGAAAAATACTTCAATGACACATTTATGCAATTATTTAACCTTCCTTCCTTCCTTCCTTTCCTTTGCTTTAGTTCTTTCATTCTTTCTTGTTTCTTTTTCTTTTTCCTTCCTTCTGGTATCACTCTGTCATCTAAGCTGGAGTGCAGTGGTGCAATCAAAGCTCACTACAGCCTTGAACAACTGAGATCAATGAATCCTCCTGCATCAGCCTCCCATGTAGTTGGGATTACAGGCACACAAAACCATGCCAGGCAATTTTTTTTTTTGCATTTTTTTTCAAGATGAGATATATCCATGTTGCCAGACCAGTCTCAAACTCCTGGTCTCAAGCAATCCTTTCAACTCTGCCCTCATAGCTAGGATTACAGGTGCAAGCCACTGTGCCTGGAACCAATTATTTAATATTTAACATATATTCAGTTGCAAGAATTCATTCAGTGCTTACTCTCTCCAAAGCACTTTACTAGGTGTGATCATCCACTCATAAATTTATTTGGGTAATAAAGTTCCTGCTTTTAAGGACATTCTTACTTAACAGAAATTAAAATAATACATAGACTAACTTTTGCCAGTAAATCACATAACATTTTGTTTTGTGGTGGGCAGGTCTATGAAACCTAAGGAGAAAGTCCAAGTAAGTAGAGAGTCAGAAGAAAGAGGTTGACAAATCCAGTTTCTTAGAAAGAAAGTTTAATAAGGATTTATGAACAGAAGCTATGTCTGTGTCTTGGGTGGCAGTGAGACAAGATGGTGGATCCCTGTGGCATCACCCCCCAAGACCCAGGGTTTATACACTATAGGTAAATATGGTGCAGAAGGGATGTGTGGTACAATTGTAGTATGATAACATCAAGTTTGCTTTGACCTAAGGTCTGGAATTATGGTACGTACATGCTCTTACACAAGGAAAAATAGATAAACTGGACATCTGAGAGGCCATCCTGAAACTGGGGTTAATCAGAAACCAATATGGTGGATTAGCATCCAAGATGGAGTTGCATTAACCTCCACATCTTTCTCTAAGCTTCCACCTATATAAAATAGCTAAAATATTAAGCCTAGCTATCTAAGGCTGTTATGAAGAACAACAAATAGCGAAGATTAAAATGTCTTATGAAAAGGAATTCGACTGCAAAGGTAGTGTGTGGCTTAATGAAAGTAAGATGAAGGACCCTTGCCTTAGTCCATTTTCTATCATAATGAGCTAGAAACAGTTGTACCTATAATGTCTTGACACTTCAATTACACCATTAGCCCCATATTAAATTTACTTAATGATAATTATAGAAATAATACATAAATTCATTTTCATCTTCAAATTTAAAATATAAGTACACCTAAAGTCTCCCTTGAATCCTACTTTGCTAATCAGATTCTCCTTTCCCTGTACCCAAACTCCCAAAATGTAACTCCCACTATTAGGTTAATTGTGTATACCTCCAGATTTTTTCTGTTTACAAACATACATATGTGCCCAGAGAAAATGATTAACACTGTTTTTTTAATTTTATAAACATTTTCTACACTTGCTTGGAATTAAGAAGACTTTGAATAGTGAGTGACTCCAAAAGGAAATGTCTCATCAATTTAGAGTTGCAATACAAAACAAGGAAGAATCTTATTTGTAAATACTCACTCTGTGTGGAAAACAGCAGGCTGGGTGTCATTTTTAGAATCTCTATTAGCTTCTATTACAGCTAAACATTGAGTCTGAGTCTACCTGAAATAATCTAATGTTAAAACAACATATTTAAATAAAGAATAAAAGTGTGTAGTTTCATTATTATAAATGGGAAATAAAATTAGTTGGACATTTTATAATGCATTTCTCAGTTGATAATAATGCAAATAGCTTTTTTTGTTTATATATTAATTAATGAGGGACCCTTTGAAAGTACTTTGAACATTACCTCTAAGCAGAGGATTTTATCTTTTTCTATTTTTGAGGATTTTATGTTGAGACTCTCCCCATTCATTTAAAAATACTTTCTTAATTTTCCCTGTCAATTGATATGAATAAACTATAACACATACACCCTACTTTTGTAATATTCATAAGCTCTCAGAAGAGATTTTGTTCTTCAAAAGCTTTATTTCAAGCAAAGGTTATCTATAGGTCATAATGGCATCATTGAAAAGTCAAATACTTTTTGTCACTGCATTTCATCAGTTACATATTTGAAGCAATACATTAACCAAAACTGCATTCCTGGACGTATGCTTTTTAAAATAACCTGATCAGCACCAAAAATTATATTATATATTAATATTACATAAATATTAAGCCATATTTTATTTAATTTCAAAGAAAATCCAAAAACATAGTACATCATTAATGTGGAAAAAGAAGATAGAGAAAATGTGCATTCATGTATATTTTCCTCTAAAGAGTCTAACTGCAAACCCTTTGAAAAATCAGGTCTGTAAGAACTGACACATCAGAATTAATGAGTGTCAAAAGAAAAGTTTCATAGTGATAATAATAATAATGAACATGAATTTAGTATGTTTTATCTCCCTTAATCCTCACTACAAACTCATAAAGTTGATTATCTCCATTTCTCTATTGAAACAACAAAGGGCACTTAGATCTTAAATAATTTGCTGGTAGACCACATAGCCTATAAGAGATGAAGCTACAATTCAAGTCTATATGTGTCTAACTGAAAAGCCAAATACTTGGAACTACTATGATATTGTTTCCAAACTGTCTAGCTGTATTATTTAATCTCTTTGAAACTCTACCTAATCTGTGAAAAGACTACAGTGATCTCTGTTTTCCCCCAGTATTGTCAAGAAATTGGAGGTAGAAAATGTGTGATAACATACATTGAATGTTATGAAGGCATAGTGATTACTTTAGAAACTTAAAAATGAGGAAAACCATAGTTAAATTCAAAAGAAGGTTGAGATTCCCTTGTCTGAAATGCTCGGGACCAGAACTGTTTCAAATTTCTAATTTTTTAATTTTATAATGTTTTTGTTTACATTATGATATATCTGTGGATGGGATCCAAGTGTAAATATAAAATTCACTTGTGTTTCATATCCATCTCATACACATAGCCTGAAGGTAATTTTATAAAATATTTTTAAATAGTTTTGTGTATGAAACAAAGTTTTTGTATATTGAAACATCAGAAAGCAATGATGTTAGGTTGGCACTCAAAATGTTTTAGATTTAGGTGCAATTTGCATTTTTAATTTTCAGATTAGGAATGCACAGCCTGTAGTATTTTTTGCTGCCTTATGGAAAGCTACATAATTTGCAGTATAAACATAGTAGAAAATATTGCAAGGAGAAACAATCTCATATTTGTCAGACTTCTTTATTTCCCAAATCCTGCCTATAACACAAAGCAGAAGGTAGTTTATTAGAAAGCCTATGAGAGTCTACAAAAGATAAACAAGGTAAAATATTGTTTAACAACTATTTCCAAATGTATTAAGGAGAATCACAAAGCCAAAGAAATCACTACTTCCTAGACTCAAGCATAATAATAAAAAATCTGATACATACCTGAGAGAGGGCATTGGGAGAGATATGACAGGATTTATCTAGATTACCTGAGTCTAGGAACACTAGCATTATTTGTACACAATGACAGTGGTTCCTCTGGAATTCATAAAAATATAAACCATTAATACTATTTCTATATATCTTTCCTAACTTGATAAAATAATGTGACCCTGATACCATAAAAAATGCTGAGACTTTTTGTATTTAACCAATATTAAGTTAGCTGTGGTAGTTAAAAAAAATTAATTAAACTTTTTTTGAAAGTTAAAAATTCAAATAATATCAATGAATTTCATCAGCAAGATGGTGGAATAGGACTCTTCAGCCCATGTCCTCCCTCAGAAACATCAATTTGAACAACTATTCGTGCACAAAAATACCTTCACAAGCACAAAGGAAACAAGGTGATAGATTACAGCACCTGAGTGAAGCACAGATATAATAAATAAGATTGAAGAGGGTAAGAATAAGAGCATATATTGCCTGTTACCTCTATTACCCCTCATCCAATCACAGGCAACAGAGCATGAACAGAAATAGCCTCTGAGTGAGCAAAGGAGAAAGAAGAGATTAACGGGCATTGCCATGGATTCCAACACTGGCCTTCCCTATTAAAACTCAGTGTGAGGCAGGTCTCCATAGCCCCAGACTCCTGACCAGTACCAATGAGCTATGAATCCAGGCCTGCCCCAGCTCCAGGACTGTGTTGCAGATTCAGTCTTTAGGTGGTCCCACTACAGTTCTGACCTCAGTGGCCCCAGGCTCCAGACTACCCTCAGCACTCAGCTGGCCCCAGAAACCCTGAAATCTGTACTGTCTTTATTGCCAGGTGGCCACTGACTGTAAATCACCCCAGAACCAGAAGTGGCCCCAGCCTTTAAGCCTGTCCTAGCAAGAAACCAACTCTTGCAGCCCTAGTCATCAGACCAGCACCTGTACACCCATCCTCCAGTCCAGCCCCTGTGGATATATACTCAAAACCCACTCAATACAAGGCCAGCCCTATGCCTCAGTCTTAAGGCCCAGCTCAGACACAAATGGTTACTCTGTTTTCAAAAACCAGACAGGCACACGAAGACACAGGCTCCAGGCTTGCCAACTGCTAGGTTGATACATGCAATCTCACACTCTAGGCTGGCCCCTGGAAATCTGTGCTCCAGCAGACTCAGGGTTCAGGCCTGTAACTGTAGACATCAGCACTTGACAAGTAGACCTAGGGTTCAGGACTGCTCCTGTGTATGCTGGTCCCATGATTGTTTCCAAGGCCTTGGGATTCAGGTCAGCCTTCCCAGACCTAACCTCTAGGCCTAGACATGCACACCCAGCATCCAATAGGGTTCTAGCTGACATAGGCTCCAGGCTGGTCCCCAAGTCTCTAGGCTCCAGGCCAGTCCCAATGACTCCAGGCATCAGGTCTACACCTGCAATCATAGGCTCCAGACCAAGACCCACATACCCAGTCTTTGAACCAGTTCCAGCACCAACTTGACCCCAGGCATGAGGCCAGTGCCCATGGGTCCAGGCTCCAGAGGACCCCAGGGCCCAAGCCTGTTCTATCATACCTAAAGTCCAGACCCACCAAATAGACACCAGTGCCATGTTGGAACCCATAAACTGAGGCTCCTAGACCACCCTGGCAAACCAGGGTCCAGGCTACGTCCTGTGGACTCAGGATTTAGGCTTATCCAAGTGGCCCTAAGAACAAAGTCCATTGCCAGGGCACGTTCAGGACCTGTGAAACCAGGCTTCAGGCTGGTACCCATGGACACAGGGTCCAAGCCTGCCTTGTGGACCCAATATTTAGGCCAATTCCCACAAACCCAATTAAAAAGTCCACTCCAGTGAATCCAGACTTCAGGACCTAGACACCAGGCCTTTATATCTGATTATCTGTGTGCCAAATCCAGTTTGGCTAAGGACTCCATCAGCAAGCCAGCCCTGAATCACACCAATAACTTGCTAAGAATTTCTAGACAAGTAGAAGACTGGTAAAGGTCTTTTTCACCAAAGAACAGTCTGCAAAGAGTAGAATAAGTCCCTGTATCTTCAAATGTGCCAAGATCAGTATAAGGCAACATGATACATGACAAACCAAGGATACTAATACCACCAAAAGAATAGAATAATCTCCCAGTAGAAATGGAGATACACAAACTGCTAGATAAAAAATTCAAAATAATTGCTTCAAGAAAGCCCAACAAACATTAAGAAAATACAGAGAAATAATTCAATGAAATCAGAAAAATAATAAATGACCAACATAAAACATTTAATAAGAAATTAAAATTATTTTTTTAAAAAACCAAATAGAAATTCTGGAGCTGAAAAATACAATGAACAAAATAGAAAAGGAAATAGAGAGCATCAACAGTAGAAATGATCAAAGTGAAGAAAGGATCTGAACTTGAAAACAGGTTATTTAAAAATATATACTCAGAAGGAAAAAAAGAATTAAAAAAAGACATCTCACAGGATTTAAAGGTCAGCATCAAAAGAACAAATTTTCAAGAAATAATAATTCATGAAGGATAAGCAAAAGATGAAAGAGTAGAAAGTTTACTTAAATAAATAATGGCAGAAAATTTTTTAAATTTGGAGAAAGATATTAATGTCTAGATACAGGAAGGGCAAAATTATCCAATCAGATTCAATCAAAACAAGACTACACCAAGAAATAATTTAAACAAACTGTAAAAATCAATCATAAGGAGATAATCCTGAAGCCATAAAGAGCAAGGAAGCAAAGTAACATCTGAGGGAGTCACCATAAAGCCAACAGCAGATTGCTCAGCAAAGACCTCACAGGCCAAGAGAGAGTGGGAGATACATTCAAAGTGCTGAAGAAAAACAACTTTGAACCAAGAATACTGCACCCGGCGAAGAAATAAAAGAGAAAAAAAAAAAACTTCCAGATAAACAAAAGCTGAGAGTTAATCACTACCAGACCTGTCTTACAAGAAATGCTAAAGGGAGTTTTTTAAACTGAAGAAAAGGATGCTAAATAGTAACACAAAAAACATATGACAGTATAAAACTCAGTGGTAAAAGTATGCTGTCGAATTCAAAATACTCTATTACACTTATATCTTTACTATGAAAATTAAAATACAAAACCATAAAAGTAATTATAGCTATAATAACTTGTTAAGGACTGTGCAATATAAAAAGAAAGATCCTGTGACATCAAAAATGCTAAATGTGGGTAAGGTGGAGTAAAAGTCAGTTTTTTATGTATTCAATGTTAAAATGTTATCAGCTTTAAATACCCTGTTATAACTATAAGGTGTTTGTGATAAGACTCATAGTAACCACAGTGCAAAAATGTATAGTAGATACACAAAAGATAAGAAGTAAGGAACCAATACACACCACTAGAAAAAAAACCCATGTATTTACAAATGAAGACAGCAATAGAGAAAGAAAAAAAATGAATCTATGAAATAATCACAAAGCAATTAACAAAATATCAGTATCAGTAGCAAGTTCTTACAAGTCAACAATTACCTTAAATGTAAGTGGATTAAGTTCTCTAATCAAAGCAAATAAAGTGGCTGAATGGATTAAAACATAAAGAAGACCCAACAATATGATGCCTGTAAAAGAGTCACTTGATTTGAAAGGATATACATATCTTGAAAGTGAAGGGATAGTAGAAGATATTCTATGCAAATTGAAACCAAAAGAGAGCAGAAGCTACAACTATAGATACTCTAGATAAAATTGACTGACATTTTTAGATCAAAAACTATAAAATAATACAGAAAATATCTTTATATAATGATAAAGTATTCAACTCACCAAGAGGATATAACAATTATAAATATATGTGCACCCAACATCAGAGCACCTAAATATATAAAGCAACCTGAAAAGAGAGAGAGACAACTACACTTTAGACCAAATTTATCTAAGAGCTATGTACAGAACATCCCATCCAACAGCAGCAAAATACACATTATTTCCTCTGTACACAGAACATTCATCAAGATAGATCATATTTTAGGTCACAAAACAAGCCTTAACAAATTCAAGACGAATGAAATTATGACAAGTATGTTTTCTGGCCACAGTGGTATGAAGCTATAAATCTATAATAGAATAAATTTTGGAAAATTTACAAATTCGTGGAAATGAAACAATATGCCCCTGAACAAAAAACTGATCAAAGAAGAAACTAAAAGGGAAATTAAAAAGCATCTTGAGACAAATAAAAATGGAAACACAACATACACAAAGAACTTATGGGATGTAATAAAAGCAGTTTTAAGAGGAAAGATTATAGCAATAAATGTCTACAACAAAAAAGAAGAAAGTTCCCAAATATACAACTTAACATTACACCTCAGAGAACTAGTAAATGAAGAAAAATCTAAGCTTAAAGTCAGGAGAAGAAAGACAAAATAAAGATCATAGCAAAAATAGGTGAAATGAAGACTAGAAAATCAATACGAAAGATTAATATAACCCAGTTGTTTTTTTGAAAATATAAAACTGACAAACCTTTAGCTACACTAACTTAAAAATACAGACAAAAAACTCAAATAAATATAATCAGAAATAAAGAGAATACATGACAGCTAGTACCCCAATAATGTAAATTATCAAAAAATACTATTATGAACAGTTATATACCAACAAATTTGATAACCTAGAGGAAATGGTACATTTCTAGACACATACTATCTGTCATGTTTGAACCAAAAAGCAACAGAAAAGCTAAACACGTCAATAACAAGTAAGGAGAGTGAATCAATAAAAATTTTCCCTCAGAGGAGAACCCAGGACCTGATGGCTTACTGCAAAATTTTACCAAACTTTATAGAATAACTAATATTAATACTTCTCAGGCCCTTTTGAAATACTGATGAACTCATTTTATAAGATTGGCTTTACTGTGACATCTAGGACAGAGAAGGATACCACAAAAATAAAACTCAAATGGAATCCAACAGTCCATTAAATAGATTATTCAACATGATTGAGTGGGATTTGTCCCAGGCATGCAAGCATAGTTTAACAAATGCAAATTTATAAATGTGATAAACCACATTAACAGAATGAAGCACAAAAATTGCACAGTAATATCAATAGGTGCCAAAAAAGCATTGAACAAAGTTCAACATTCTTTCATGACAAAAACTCTCAACAAATTAGGTATAGAAGAATTTTATCTCAACACAATGAAGGTCTTATATGACAAACCCACAGCTATTATTGCATTCAATAATGAAAAGTAGAAAGCTTTTTCTATAGGCTCTGGAACACAACAAGGATTCTCAATCTTGCAACTTCAAGCATAGTACTTAAAGTCCTAGTCAGAAAAATTAGGCATTAGAAAGAAATAAAAGACATCAAGATTGGAAAGGAAGAAATAAATTGTTTCTGTTTGCAGATATCATGGTCTCATATATAAAAATCACTAAAAATGCTACCAAGAAACTGTCAGGATAACTAATAAGCAAATTCAGTGATTCTTCAAAATAGAAGATGAACATATAGACTTGGGGTGGAGCAAGATGGTGGAATAGAAGGCTTTACCAATTGTTCCCACCACAAAGACACCAATTTAACCATGATCTACACACAAAAAAGCACCTTTACAAAAAACAAAAGTCAGATGAGCAATCACAGTACCTGGTTTTAACTTCCTATCACTGAAAGAAGCACTGAAGAGATAGGAAAAACAGTCTTGACTCACTGATCCTACCCCTCCCCCACACCCTGGCAGCAGTGGCATGATGCGGAGAGCATTTCTGTGATACTGGGAGAGGGAGATTGCAGCAATTTTGAGCCATTAAACTCAGTGATGCTCTATTATAACAGAAAACAAACCAAAACAAACTCAGCAGACACCCACCCACAGAGGGAGCATTTAAACCAGCTTTAGACAGATGAAAATCACTGATCCCAGGAGTCTGAATTTCAGTTCCTGCAAGCCTCCCCAGTGCCAGCTAAGGAGCTCTGCAGCTATAATTAAACTTGAAAGGAAGTCTAGGCCACAAAGATGGCAACTTCTAGGTGAGTTCTAGTGTTGACATGGGCCCAGATACAGTGCACCAGTGGGGATGTGCAACCTACTGAGACAACAGGGTTGGTTAAGTGAGTGCTGGCATCACCCCTCTCCTAATCCCAGGCTGCACAGCTCACAGCTCCAAAAGAGACACTTTCTGTCTACTAGAGAAGATAGGGAAGAGTGAGAAGCATTTTGTCTTAAATCTTCAATGGCAGCTCAGCCACAGAACGATAGGGCACTGGTCAGAATCATGAGACCTCCTATGCAGGCCCTAGCTCCTGGATGACATTTCTAGACATACCACACTACAGAAAGGAACCCGCTGCCTTGAGGAGAAGGTGCCATTCCTGGAATGATTCATTACATGCTATCTGAAGAGCCCCTGGGCCCTGAATAACCAGCAGTGATACCCAGGTAATGTGTCAACGGCCTTGGGTGAGACTCTGAGGCTTGCTATCTTCAAGTTAGACTCAGCACACTCCTAGCTGTGGTGGCTACAGGAAGAGACTCCCTCCACTTGAGAAAAAGTGAAAAAAATAAAGGGAACTTTGTGTTGCCACCTTAGGTACCAGCCCTGCGCCAGTGGGACAGAGCAACAAGCAGACTCTTGGGGTCCCCAATTCCAGGATCTGACTCTTTGATGACATTTCTGGACCTGCCCTGCACCAAACTGGAGCCCACTGCCCTAAAGGGTAAGTCTCAGTCCAGGCAGCATTCACCACAAGGTGACAGAGCCCTTGGGCATTAAGGGAACATCAGCAGTAGTCTGGCAGTACTCCCCGTGGGCCTGTGGTGGCAGTGGTCATGGGGTGAGCCTCCTCTGCCTTTGGAAAGGAGAAGAAGGAATAGGAAAGACTGCATGCTGTGGTTTGAATGCAAGCTCTGCTGTAGCACAAGAGTCCAAGGGAGGTGCCTGTGGTGATTTTTTCTAGTCCTTGGTTCCTGGAAGGCACCTCTGGACATGGCTGGGCCCTGGGGTACTTGCTACCCTGAACAGGACAATGGCTTGGCTGGCTTCACCACCTGCTGATTGTACAGCCCAGGGCCCTGAGTGATCATGAGCCATAGCCAGTGGCTAGGGCAGGCCTTGGGCAAGACCCCTTTCACTTGGTTGTCATTTCTGTCTTTCCTGCCGCTATGCACAATTTCCCTTTCACATTTTGGCATAATTGTGAGGCCTCCTCAGCCACATGGAACTGTGAGTTCATTAAACCTCTTTCTCTTTGTAAGTTACCCAGTCTCAGGTATATCTTTATCAGCAGTGTGAAAACAGATTAATACAATACTACTTCTAAGAATTCAATTTTGATATAATTGTACTATTTTTCCATTATAATGTAAGATTTATTACATTAGGCACTGTATCTATTTTTATTTCATTGTATTTCCAACTCTTAGCACAATATCTGGCAAAAAGTGGACACTAAATAAATATTTGTAGAATGAACTAATTAATGAGAAAATAACTGGGGCACCTAAAATCTGCAAGATATTTTATGTACATATTTATTTAACTTTCAAAATGATGTTACATGGCAGGTGTTGTTTAATTTCCAAATATTTGTAGATTTTCCAAATTTCCTTCTGGTATTCATTTTCAATTTCATTCTGCTGTTTAATTTACATTTAATTAATTCTATTTTAGTCAAAGAATATGCATGGATAATTTAAGTTCTTTAAAACTTCTTGACGCATTTTATGGACTCTTGACAATATTTCATGTGCACTTGAGAACAGTATATTCTGTTATTATTGAGTAAATTGTTTAATAGATGTAAACTTGGTCTAGCTGTGGGACAGTGAGTGCTCTTCAAATCTTCCATATTCAGGCTCATCTTCTGACTGGTTGTTCTCTTAATTATTGAGAATGGTGTATTGATGTCTGTAACTACTATTGAGGAATTGTCTATTTCTCCCTTTAATTCTGTCAATCTTTCCTTCATGTTCTTTCAGGCTCTCGTTAGGTGAATGTTTTTATAAATATTGAACTTTCCTGATGAACTGACACATTTATTATTATAAAATGTCTCTCTTTGTTTCTAATAACACCTCTTTATCTTAAAGTCTATTTTTTCTGATATTAGTAAAGCCACTGCAGCTCTGTTGTGGTTACCATTTACACGACATATTCTTTTCATTCTTTTAATTTTAATATATTTGTTTCTTAGTTGTTTTTGCTTTGTATTATTGTATTTGTTCTTTAACTTATTTGTTTGATTCTAACGTGTCTCATAGAAAACATATATTGGATTCAGTTTCTTTTTAATCAAGTTTGTCAATCTCTGCATTTTCATTGCAATAGTTAATCATTTTATATCTAATATAATTAGTGAGATGGCTAGATTTCTATTTCCAGTCTTCTATTGGTTTTCTATATGTCTTATATCTTTTTTGTTCCTTTGTTCTTTATGATCTCCTTTTCTGTAACATAGATATTTTTTAGTGTATATTTTACTTGCTTTGTTATTTTACTCTACTTTTTGAGTTATTTTTTTAGTTATTTTTCTTAGCATTTCTTAGGGTTGTTCTGGAAATTACAAAATACATCTTAAAGCAATCTACTTATGATTAATACTAGCATAATTTTGATTGTATATAGACACTTGGCTCCGATACACTCACTTCTCTGCCTCTCTTTTCTGTTACTATTGTGATTCAAATACATTTTTATATGTTATAAACCCAACAATGTAATGCTATAAATATTACATGTGAATCTGTCTTTTAAATCATTAAGAGTAGACTATATATATTTATATAATATTTTTCATATTTATCGAGTTACCTTTATCTATACTTTATTTCTTCATGTGCTTTTGAACTACTTCTTACTCTTGAGAGGAACTCCCGTTAGTATATCTTGTAAGCCAATTCTGTCAGAAACTAACTTGCTCAGTCTTTATCTAGGAATATCTTTTATTTTAGTTGGCTGGCAGTGATTTTCCATAATTTTGATATGGTATTCCATCACCTTATGTCACTCCATTTTTCCTGCTGAGAATTCAGCTGTAAATCTTACTGAGGTTCTCTTGTACACGATGGGTCATATTTCTCTTGCTTTATTCAAAATTTTACCTTTGTGTTTAGCTTTTGATAAATGTGATTTGTCTAGCTGTGGACTTCTCTGAGTTTAACCTACTTGGATTAGGTTGAGCCTCATAGACATGTATGTTAAAAAATTTTGTCAAATTTGTGAATCTTTTGGTCATTAATTCATCAAATATTTTTTTCTGTCCCTTTCTTTCTCTTCTCTTTTTCTGAGATTTTTCTTATGCATATACTGATATATTTAATGGTGTTCCACAGGCCTCTCAGGATCTGTTCATTTTTATTTATTCATCATTTATTATGTTCTTCAGTTGGCATAATCTTGAATGACCTGTCTTCATATTCACTGAATCTTCTTCCCACTCAAATCTGCAGTTGAGCACTTCTAGAACTTTCTAAAATATTTTCAGTAACCTGAAATATTTTCAGTAACTAAAATGTTTTCTTTTCAACCTGATGTTTACTTTATGATTGATAACTTTTTATTAATATTCTCTATTTGTTGAGTCATTGGTTTTATAAGTACATTTAATTCTTTAAACATATTTCCTTTTGCTTTTGAATATAATAGCTTACTTACAGTCAGGGACAGCTTCTGCTTCTATTGATTACTTTTTATCTCTTTAAATGGGCAACAGTTTGATTTTTCTCTGTCTCATAACTTTAGGTGAAGATTTGTTGTTGTTGTTGTTGTTGTTGTTTGTTTGTTTGTTTTTGAGATAGAGTCTCTCTCTCTTGCCCAGGCCAGAGTACAGTAAGATCTTGGCTCACTACAACCTCTGCTTCCCAGGTTCAAGGGATTTTCCTGCCCCAGCCTCCTGAGTAGCTGGGATTACAGGTGCCACCACCACGCCTGGCTAATTTTTTGTATTTTTGGTAGAGGCGGGGTTTCACCATATTGGCCAGGCTGGTCTTGAACTCTTGATCTCAGGTGATCTACCCACCTCGGCCTCCCAAAGTTCTGGGATTACGGGCGTTAGCCACCGTGCCCTGCCAACTGGCTATCTTAACTCAATTATTGTAGTAATTCTGGATTCTAGATATCCTCCCCAACTCAGACTTATTGTTTCTTTTGTTTGCTTGTTTGCTTTTTAGTAGCTGGCCTGGATTAGTTCTTTAGAAACTGTCCTTTCTACAGTGTGTAAACACTGAAGTTGCTGCTTACATTTTTTTTAAATTTATTATCAATATTTTAAAGCTCAATTTCTTAAGCAGAGCTTAATGACCACCCAGAGAATGGGCAAAACTTTTCTTTAAACATCATGAGCCAGTAAGGCTTCCACCATTGGCTGAGGAAATCTGTGTGGGTTGTGACACACATTCAAAATTTAGGCAATTCACACGTCTACTCAGATTTTCATTTTTTTTTTTTTAATAAAGTGTCTCATGGTCCAGCAGGTATAAGTAACTAACTGGGAGCCTCTCCATTCTTCCCTAAATACACCTGCAGACTTGATCGTGTGTGCTGCCGTGCATGTGAACTTAGCCTTCCAGATTACCAGAAACTTTTCAAGTTCCTCTGTGACTATCTCATTCCCTAAATCCCTCTATTAAGTTTTTGCCTGGTCTCTTGCTTGCCCCAGCATCAGAGACTGAATCAACTGAGACATCAACTTTCTCCAATTATTTGCCACCAACTGCTACTCACTGGGTGAGGATACTCTCCATGGGACTTCTGAGCAGATGAGCCCTGATGGAGTTGTCGAGGTGCACGTTAAAGGAACATGCATCCCATTGTTCTTACCAAGATTCAGTAGTTACTTTCCCATAAATGTTTTTCAATTTGTTTTATGCCTTTGGTTAATTTTCAGAGATCTGAAATGATTGGTATGGGGAATTGGGGGCTTTATATTATTGCTCTTGGAGAAGAATTTACTAAGGTACCCCTTTACCATTCCAGAAGTTACACCTTACTTGCACTGAATTTTAAACCATGAGTGACAAGTTTCCAGGTAGATATTAAGAGACAAACAATCCTGGATAGTGGGAAAAAGTGAATAGATACATGAAATTACACAGTGGGTTCAAGTAACTACAAATTATTTATTGAAAGCAGAGAATACTGGAAGATAAGGCTGAGCAAGTATATAAAGGTCTTGCATATAATGTTAAGGAAGTAAGATATCATTCTGTGGGTATTAAAGTGTGAATGAAGAATTTCAAGCAAGTGAATAAAGGTTAGATATATTTTGAAAAGTCATGCTGATATGGAATTCAGGTTTATTGAAAGATAAGACCAAAGAAAGAGGGAACAGTACAGAGACTTTTAATATTCTCAGTGAGAAATAATGAAATTTAAACTAGGGCTAGGGAATGTGGAGGTCAATAAATATTAGAAATGTTTAAATATTTAGAGGATGGTATTGTTAAACCTATTCTCTAGAAGTGAAAGCTGAGCTTATGTAATAAAATAAATACAGGGTGCTAAGATGCATCTCAGGTTCTGGCAAGATAAACTGACTGCATGGTACTAACATTCTCTCTCTTATACAAATCTCAATAAACATTTTAGGAAAAATCAAATGAATATGGTAACTTTAAAATGGGTGCACAGTTTTCAATAAATATAAATATTTTCATTCAGTACACATTCATTTTTCCCATGAATATCCAATCTCTTCTGAATTTTTTTATATTTAATAAATTTGTTATTAAAATTTCAAAAGGTGAAATATACTAATTTTAAACCTGAATATAATAAATCCGTCCAGTCAGGAATTAATTTGTTCATTCAGTCAGCCAACAAGTATTTGAATATACAGAAAATGTGGATACATGATGAATATCTGTATCTGTATTCTGTCCTTGAATAGGTTATTTTAATATAAAACAGGTTAAGATAGATGTCAGAACAGTTATTAAAACATTTCAAAATAATTATTTTGTATGAAAATAGGAGGGAAAAAGGATTAAGGAGATAAATGCCTAAGAACTCAGGCAAAAATATAATTATTTTTATATGTGAAAAATATGCTGAAGCATCCTGTGTATAATTTCAATAAACGATAAGTCTTAATAATATGATTTAGAAGATTTGGATATCTTAAAATCCAACTTTAAGTAATATATTCTCAGAAAAGCTAATAATGTAAACAACCATGCCTGAAATTTGAGTAACGCAAATTCCCACAAAATTGCAGGAAGCACACTTCCTACCAGCATAAATATAAGTAAATTATGAAAATCAGAGAACATCTTGTGGAAAATGAAAAAACAAATTATGCAAAATTCGAATGTATTTATTTTATGAGAAACCGCATGCACTGATAAAGAAAAAAGTTTTTATGATATATTGCTTGGTTGTTTTTTGTCTGTATGAAAATTCATTGCTAGTGGACTATGCCTCATTTCTGGATTTTAAGCTTCTAGCAATTTTGATAACAATAAAAAGGGAGTTTTATTTTTACACACATAAAATAGCTTATTAATACAAAATTTAAAATTACAGTGTTATCAGTTAAACTCCAGATAGGCCAATACTACCTTTCAACCAAAGAATAAAAACACAAGTTTTTTCTTTCCTAATTAATAATGCTAATTTCAAGAGTCATTTATATCCTGCATCTAAGTCACTAAAGATGTAGCCGATATCAGCAGTTAATGGTTAGTTTGCTCTTTAGGACGGTGATGAAACTCAAAGCAAATGAATAGTTTCAAAAGCTGTATGCTAATTATGTTAACAAATTATTTGGAAGGATTGATACTGGTAAAAGCTGTGAATACATTTATAATGATCAAAATTAGTATCTAAGTTACAATTGAACTTCCATGTAGTGGGGAGAGCTATTGAATGGTTTTCATTAAATTTATTGTAGACACACTACACTGTTTTGAATCTCCCTATTTCCAAAATATTGGCAATTGTTCCACAATATCATAGCTATTTTAATAGACATTATTTCTTAAAGTCCATGGAAACAATAGGCCTGTATTGACGAAGCATTATGCCTGCAAAAACAAATTCATCTAGCCTCTACCATTGTCAGACACTTCAAGAAAGGATTTATTTATTGTAAAACTTAATCCAGAATGTTGTAATCATGGAATAAATATAGTCTATTTACTTTTGAAATTTTAACAAAGGATATTTTAGTTCAAAGAACCAAAATATTAACAAGATATGAAAATAGCGCTTAGCTTATAAAAATGGATTCATAAATAAAGCACAATGACATATAGACCAAAGTAAAATCCTTAGCCCATAAAAAGCAAACTGGCCAAACTTCACATTTCACTGGGTTTTGAAGAACATTTTGCCATTGCAGCTTTGTA
The DNA here is from genome assembly GCF_000001405.40 of Homo sapiens. Taxonomy (NCBI): domain Eukaryota; kingdom Metazoa; phylum Chordata; class Mammalia; order Primates; family Hominidae; genus Homo; species Homo sapiens. The sequence goes on from NC_000011.10 coordinate 105,455,821, forward strand.
AATAGTGTTATAAAGGAGGAAGGGAAATGCTTCAAATATCAATCCCACTTCCTGAGTCTCGGTCTGCAAATAAATCACAGGTAAGGCCCAAGTATGAACTTTCCATTTCTAATCTAAGTTTCACTGCTGACTGCTGACTTGCCATGTTTCTGAAATTGTCCCTTTACTAGTGCAGTTTGGTTCCATACATATTTTAAATAATAAAATGCACTAACTTTTCCCTTTTTGTTCTGATCTACTGTTTACTGAAAGCCCCAGCCCCATCACACAGCTATTCAGGTTTTACTGAAAATTGCAAATCTCAAAGTCCAAAAGTTATCATACTCTCCAATAACATATATTATGTTGGTCCCTTATTTCTTTCCCAATTTTTTTAAAGGAATATTGTCTATATACCCCAGGGTAACATCTGGTGTTTGAATGTTGAATCACTACAGCTTATGCTATGCATCACTCAAGGTAGTTTGGATCTCAGCTACCACTTACTACCTGTGTGAGCTTGGGTAAGCTATGTCTCATCTCAAAGGCTGAAAAGTGGAATTTTGTGAGAAGTAACCATATTATGTAAATTAACATTTTTGTTGTAATGCTTCTAAAAGTCATTTAAAATTATATCAAATTCACCTGGATGTATCGTCAAATATATAAATTTTGTGTGTGTTCAAAATTATACTTTAGTTCAAAGAATACAATAAAGATTTTTAAGCAATAATGAAAAATAGCCTGGCACGGTGGCTCGTGCTTGTAAGTCTAGTTACTCAGGCAGCTAAGACAATAGAATTGCTTGAGGCCAGGAGTTCAAAACCAGCTTGAGTACCATAGTGAGACTCCATCTGTATTTTTTAGAGCCTACTGAATATTTATGTAATAATTTATTGTAATCCTAAAACTATTTTATTATGTATGAGGTGAAAGAGATATGATGGAGGAGTTCTTTCCAGAAGTAAATAAACAGGAGGAGGCAAAGCAAGACGGCCGACTACAAGCCTCCAGTGATCATCCACCCTGCAGGAACACCAAATTGAACAACTCTCCACACAAGAAAGAACCTTGATAAGAACCAAACATGAAGTGAGCAATCATATTATCTGGTTTTAACATCATAGCAAAGAAAGAAGCACTGAAGAGAGTGTAGGAAAGATAGTCTTGAATGGATGACACAACCTGTCCCCTATTCCCCTGGAGGTGGCCATGTGGTGCAGAAAGAGAATTTGTGTGTATGCAGGATAGATAGAGCAGTGATTGCGGAACTTTTTATGTTGGAACTCAGTGCTGCCCTGTCAAATGGAAAGCAACGTGAGAGAGAATTCAGCCAGCGCCCCCAGAGGTAGAATTTAGACTAGCCCCAGCCAGAAGGGAGTCACCTAACCCCATGGTCAGAACCTGAGTTCTGGTTAGCACCACCACTGCAGGATAAAGTGTTCTAGGGTCATAAATAAACTTGAAAGGCAGAGACTATGCCACAACAACTGCAATTCCTGAGCAAGTTTTTTTTGTCGTGCTGGGCTTGAACCAGTGGATTTTGAGTGCACATGACCTAGTGAGGTACCAGCTGGAGATGCCTAGAAGTGCTTGTTTCTCCCATGCCCCTTACCCCAGACAGCACAGCTCACAGCTCAGAAGGAGAAGGGAAAAAAGAGAACTTTGTTTTGCAAGTAGGATACCAATTCAGCCATAGTGTAATAGGGCACCAGGCAGAGTCCTGGGGCCCCTGTTCCAGGCCCCAGCTCCCAGTTGACATTTCTAGACACACACTGGGCCAGAATGGAACATGCTGCCTTGAATGGAATAACCCAGTCATGGCAAGATTCATCACCTACTAACTAAGAGAACTTGGGCCGTGAATAAGAATTAATGGTACCCAGGAAGTTTTCACTGTGGGCCTTGGGTGAGACCCAGGGTTGTGCTGGCTTTAAATGTTACCACTCCATTCCCAGCTCTGGTAGACATGAGAAGATACTCCTGCTTTTAAAAGGAGATGAAAGAGTAAAGGTGACTTTGTCTTGCATCTTAGGTACCAGCTCGACCACAGAGGGGTAAAGCACCAAGCAGCCTCCCGGGGTCCCCAGTTCTAGGCATTAGCTTTTGAACAGCATTTCTGGACCTGCCTGGGGCCAGAGAGAAGCCTATTGTCCTGAAGGGAGAGAGCTAGGCCTGGCAACATTCAACCCAGCTGGCTGAAGAGCCCTTGGGCCTTGAGTGAACATCGGCAATAGCCAAGCAGTAATTGTCACAGGTCTGGAGCAGTGGTGGCCACAAGAGACAACTTCCTTTGCATGAGAAAAGGAGAGGGAAGGGTGGAAAGAACGTTGATTTGCAGCTTGGGTAACAACTCGGCCACAGTAGAACAGCGCACCAAATACATTCCAGAGTTTTCTGACTTCAGCCCTGACTCCCAGAGGGCAATCATAGACTCACCTTAGGCTGAGGGGAAGCTCATTGCCCTGAAGCGTAGGACACATGTCTGACTAGATTCACCACTTGCTGACTGGAGAGCCCTTGGGCTTTGAATAAACACCAGCAGAAACCAGGCAGCGGTCACCTTGAGCCTTGGGTAAGACCCGGCGCTGTGCAGCCTTCAGGTCCGTCGCACCCTTCTCAGCTTCAGGCAGCTCTCCATGAAGAGGGACATCCTGTTTATTTGGGGGAAAGTAAAAGAAAGGAACAAAAGTCTCTGCTTAGTAATCTAAGAAATTCTCCCAGATCTTACCCAAGATCACCAAGATAGTATCCTTATGAGCCTACAAGAGTCACAGAAATCCAACTGACACAATGAAGAATGCATCACGGTTTCTCAACAGCAGAATTGATCAAGCAGAGGAAAAAAAATAGTGAACATGAAGACAGGCTATTTGAAAATAAACAGCCAGAGGAAACTAAAAAAAAAAAAGTATATACAAAAAAATGAAGCAGCCTACAAGATCTAGAAAATAGTCTCAAAAGGGCAAATTTACACATTATTGGCCTTAAAGAGGAGGGCATGAGAGAGATCTGGGGAAAGTTTATTCAGAGGGAATACAACAGAAAATGTTCCAACCCTAGAGAAAGATATCAATATTCAAGTACAGGAGGGTTATAGAACACAAAGCAGATTTAACCCAAAGAAGATTTCCTCAAGGCATTTAATAATTAAACTCCCAAGTGTCAAGGATAAAAGAAGCAAGAGAGAAGAAATAAATAACATACAAAGGAGCTCCAATATGTCTTGCACCAGACTTCCCAGTGGAAAATTTACAGGCTAAGAGAGAGTGACATGACATATTTAACATGTTGAGGGAAATAAGTTTTTATCCTAGAATAGTATGTCCAGTGAAAATATCCTTCAAACATGAAGGAGAAATAAAAATTTTACTAGACAAACAAAAGTTGAGGGATTTCAACAACAACAAACTGGTCCTTCATGAAATTCTAAAGGGAGTTCTTCAGTCTGAAAGAAAAGGATGTTAACAAACAATAAGAAACATCTAAAGGTACAAAACTCACTAGTAATCGTAAGTACACAGATAAACATAGACTATTATAACATTGTAACTGTGGTGTGAAAACTACTCATATCTTGAGTAGAAATACTAAAAGATGAACCTTTCAAAAATAATAACTACAACAATTTTTAAAGACATAGGTATATAAGGAGATATAAATAGAAACAACAAAAAGTTTAGAAGTGAAAGATGCAAAGTGTAGAGATTTTATTAGTTCTCTCTTTCCTTATTTGTTAATTTGTTTGATTTTGCAATCAGTGTTATCATCAGTTTAAAATAATTGGTTATAAGATGTTACAGGCAAGCCTCATCGTAACCTCAAATCAAAAAACTTATAGTGGATACACAAAAAAATTTAAAAGAAAAAAATTAAAACATACCACCAGAGAAAAGTACCTTCACAAAGAGGAGGACAAGAAAAAAAGAAGGAAGGAAGAAAAGATTACAAAACTACCAGAAAACTGATAACAAAATGGCAAAATGGCAAAAGTAAGTCTTTACCTATCCATTATAACATTGAATACAAATGGACTACGCACTCCAAACAAAAGATATAGAGTGGCTGAATGAATAAAAACAAGACCTAATGATCTATTACCTATAAGAAACACACTTCACCTATAAAGACACACATAGATTGAGAATAAAGAAATGGAAAAAGATAGTTCATGCCAATGCAAACTAAAAATTAGCAGAAGTAGATATACTTATTTCAGACAAAATAGCTTTCAAGACAAAGACATATAAAAAGAAACAAGGAAGGTAATTAAATAATGATAAAGGGGTCAACTCAGCAAGAGGATATAACAATTGTAAGTATATATGCACCCAACACTAGAGCACACAGATATATAAAACAAATATTACTAGAGCTAAAGAGAGAGATAGACCCTAATATACTAATAGCTTGAGACTTCAACCCCTTATTTCAGCATTAGACATCATCCAAACAGAAAATCAGCCAAGAAACATCAGACTTAATCTGTACTACAAACCAAATGAACCTAACAGATATTTACAGAACATTTCATCCCATAGCTGTAGAATATACATTCTTCTCATCAGAACATGGGTCATTATCAAGGGTAGACTGTATGTTAGCTACAAAAAAGTCTCAAGAAATTTTTAAAAATGAAATTATATCAAGTATCTTTTCTAACTGAAAGGAAATAAAATTAGAAATCTATAAGAGAAACTTTGGAAACTGTACAAACACAGAGAAATTAAACAATATGCTACCAATTGACAAGTGAGTCAATGAAGCAATTAAGAATAAAGTTTAAAAATTTTTGAAACAAATGACTATAGAAACACAACATACCAAATCCTATGGAATACAGTGAAAGCAGTACTAAGAGGAAAGTTTATAACAATAAGCACCTATATCAACAAAGTAGAAAAACTTCAAATAAACAACCAAATGATGCATCTGAAAGAATTAGAAATGCAAGAGAAAATCAAACACAAAATAAGAAGAAGATCAGAAGTAAATAAAATTGAAACAAAGAAACTAAAAAATCAGAAGTTGGTTTTTTGAAAAGGTAAACAAAACCAAGAAAGTTGTAACAAGACTATAGAAAAAGAGAGAAGACTGAAATAAATAAAACTACAACGGATACACAAAAAATGAAAAAGAAAGAAATTAAAACGTATCACCAGAAAAACTACCTTCACAAAAAAGAAGACAGGAAAGAAAGAGGGAAGGAAGAAAAGGTTACAAAACAACCAGAAAACTAATGACAAAATGGCAAAAGTAAGTCTTGCCTTCTTCATAATAACATTGAATGTAAATGGACTAAACTATTCAGTCAAAAGAAATAAAAAACAAGATATTACCACCGGTACAACAGAAATTCAAAGGATCACTAGTGGTTAGTAAGAGCATCTATATGTCAATAAACCAGAAAACCTGGAAGTGGATAAATTTCTAAACACATAAAACCTGCCAAGAAGGAACCATAAAGAAATCCAAAATCTGAATAGAACAATAACAAATAAAGAGCTTGAAAAAGTAACAAAAAGTCTACTGGCAAAGAAAAGTCAGGTATCCAATCGCTTCATTGCTGAATTTTACCAAACATTTAAAGAAGAAATAATACCAATCCTACTTAAATTATTCTGAAAAATAGAGTAGGAGGGAATAATTCCAAACTCATTCTATGAAGCAAGTATTACACTGATAACAAACCCACACCAAGACAAATAATAAAAAGAAAACTACAGGCCAATGACCTTAATAAATACTGATGCAAAAATTATTAACAAACCAAATTCAGTAACACATTTAAAAAGTTCATTCAGCTTGATCAAGTGGGATTTACCTCTGGGGTGCAAGGATGTTTCATCATATGTAAATCAATCAATGTGACATATCATATCAACAGAATGAAGGATAAAAACATATAATTATTTCATTTGATACAGAAAATGCACTTAATAATATTCAATATCCCTTCAAGATAAAAACCCTAAAAAAATCTGGGTGTTTAAGAAACATACCTCAACACAATGAAAGCCATATATGACAGATAAAGAGCTAGTATCATACTAAATAGGGGAAAACTAAAGTTCTTTCCTCTAAGATCAGGAACACAACAAGGCTGTCCATTTTCATCGTTACGAAACAGTGCTGCAACTCCTACCCACAGCAGTCAGACACAAGAAAGAAATAATGGGCATCCAAGTTGGTAAGGAAGAAGTCAAATTACCCGTATTTGAAGATGACATGATCTTTTACTTGGAAAAACCTAAAGACTCCACCAAAAAAAATTATTAGAACTGAAAAAAAAATTCAGTAAAGTTGAAAGAGGTAACTAAAGAGCTTCTGCACAGCAAAAGAAACTACCATCAGAGTGAACAGGCAACCTACAAAATGGGAGAAAATTTTTGCAACCTACTCATCTGACAAAGGGCTAATATCCAGAATCTACAATGAACTCCAACAAATTTACAAGAAAGAAACAAACAACCCCATCAAAAACTGGGCAAAGGATATGAACAGACACTTCTCAAAAGACATTTATGCAGCCAACAGACACATGAAAAAATGCTCATCATCACTGGCCATCAGAGAAATGCAAATCAAAACCACAATGAGATACCATCTCACACCAGTTAGAATGGCAATCATTAAAAAGTCAGGAAACAACAGGTGCTGGAGAGGATGTGGAGAAATAGGAACACTTTTACACTGTTGGTGGGACTGTAAACTAGTTCAACCATTGTGGAAGTCAGTGTGGCGATTCCTCAGGGATCTAGAACTAGAAATACCATTTGACCCAGCCATCCCATTACTGGGTATATACCCAAAGGACTATAAATCATGCTGCTATAAAGACGCATGCGCATGTATGTTTATTGCGGCACTATTCACAATAGCAAAGACTTGGAACCAGCCCAAATGTCCAACAATGATAGACTGGATTAAGAAAATGTGGCACATATACACCATGGAATACTATGCAGCCATAAAAAATGATGAGTTCATGTCCTTTGTAGGGACATGGATGAAATTGGAAATCATCATTCTCAGCAAACTATCACAAGGACAAAAAAACCAAACACCGCACGTTCTCACTCATAGATGGGAATTGAACAATGAGAACACATGGACACAGGAAGGGGACTGTTGTGGGGTGGGGGGAGGGGGGAGGGATAGCATTAGGAGATATACCTAATGCTAAATGACAAGTTAATGGGTGCAGCACACCAGCATGGCACATGTATACATATGTAACTAACCTGCACATTGTGCACATGTACCCTAAAACTTAAAGTATAATAATAATAAAAAAAAAGTTGAAGGATACAAAATCAACATACAAGTCAGTAGTATTTCTATATTCCAACAGCAAACAATCTGAAATAAAATCAGGAAAGTAATCCAATTTATATTAGGCACAAATAATGTTAGATACCTAGGAATAAGCTGAACCAAAGAAGTAAAAGAGCTCTACAATGAAAACTTTAAAATATTTATAAAAGAAATAGAAGACGACATAAAAGATGGAAAGATATTTTCTGTTCATGGATTGGAAGAATCAATATTGTCAAAATGTTCATACTATCCAAAGGAATCTACAGATTCAATGCAATCCCTATCCAAAAGCAATGACATTCTTCACAGCAATAGAAAAAATGATCCTAAAATGTATATGGAACAACAAAAGATCCAGAGTAGCCTAAGCCATCCTGAGCAAATATAACAAAACTGGAGGAATCACATTACCTGACTTCAAAATATACTACAGAGCTATAGTAACTTGAAAAAAAATTTTTAGTGGTACTGGCATAAAAACACTTAGAACAATGAAACAGAATAGCACCCAGATACAAAACCATACACCTACAGTAAATTCATTTTCAACAAATGTACCAAGAACATACAATAAGGAAATGACACTCTTTTCAATAAATGGTCCTGGGAAAATTGGGTATCTATATGTAGATGAGTGAAACTAGACCTCTGTCTCTTGCTAAATACAAAAATCAAATCAAAATTGAGTAAAGACCTAAATCTAAAACTTCAGCCTATGCAACTACCACAAGAAAACATCGGGAAACTCTCCAGGGCATTGGTGTGGGCAAAGATTTCTTGAGTAATATACCTGCCAGGCACAGGCAAACAAAGCAAAAATGGACAAATGGTAACAAATCAAGTTAAAAAGCTTCTGCACACAGCAAAGGAAACAATCAACAAAGTGAAGAGACAACCCATAGAATGGGAGAAAATATTTGCAAAGTATTCATTTGATGAAGGATAAATAACCAGAATACATGAGGAGGTCAAACAACTCATTAGGAAGAAATAAAATAATCCAATTTAAAAATGGCCAAAATATTTGAATAGACATTTCTCAAAAGAAGATAAACAAATGGCAACAGGTGTATAAAAAGGTGCTCTGCACCACTGATCATCAGAGAAACGCAAATCAAAACTACAATGAGATATCACTTTACCCAGTAAAAATGGCTTCTATCTAAAAGACAGGCAATAGTGAATGCTGTTGAGGATGTGAGGAAAAGGGAACCCTCATTCACTATTGGTAAGAATGTAAATTAGTACAATCACTAAAGAAAACAGTTTGGAGGTTCCTCAAAAAACTAAACACAGAGCTACCATATGATCCAGCAATTCCATTACTGGGTTTTTATAAAAGAAAATGAAATCAGTATGTTGAAGTGATATCTGCACCCTCATGTTTATTGTAGCACTATTCACAATAGCCAAGGTTTGGAATCAACCTAAGTATTCATCAATAGACTAATAAATAAAGAAAATGTGGTACATATACATAATGGGGTACTAATCAGACATAAAAAAGAATGAGATCCTGTCATTTGCAACAGCACGGATTGAACTGGGGGTGTTAAAGGAAATAAGTCAGGCACAGAAGGGGAAACTTCACGTGTTCTCACTCATTTGTGGGATCTAAAAATTAAAACAATTGAATTCATGAAGATACAGTAGAATGAAGGTTACCAGAGACTGAGAAGGGTAGTGGGTGGTGAGGAAATAGAGTTGGTTAATCATTAGAAAAATATAGTTAGAATGAATAAGATCGTGTTTTTGATAACACAACAAAGTGACTGCAGTCAATAATTTATTGCACATTTTAAAGTAACTAAAAGATTATTGAAATGTTTATAACACAAAGAAATGATAAATGCTTGAGATGATGCATACCCCATTTACCTTGAAGTGATCATTATGTATTTTTTACCTGTATCAAAATATCTCATACACCCCATAAATACATTCACCCACTATGTACCCCAAAAATTAATTATAAAAAAAAAAAGAAATAAATGAACAACTACAGAGCTTCAGGTGAATACATTGAATTCAATGAATTCAATGGCTATTTAAATTTGATCTTATTTAATCACTCAGAATCATTGTTTAATAAAATTAAATTTAAAAACAATTGTCTAAATCTTACCATGTTTTACTCTTCATTTGTCCACATCTCATTGATAAAATAAATCAGATCAAAAGTGCCTATAATTAGAAGATTTCTTGAAAGTATTCATTCAAAAAAAAAAAAACCTTACAATTGTAAAAAAGGAACAGTGGAAAAAACAGAAAAGAGTCATAACTCAATCCTTTTGTTCTAAGCAGGCAGTCACCGCACAGGGTCAACACAGATTCAGCAGGCATTCAGGCACCTAAGACTCAGAACAGGTGTATCACTACCTGTCACTCATTTCTTGCTGAGCCTGATAGTTTTTATTTAATTCATTTGACAATTTTTTATTTTAGACTTACTATGTGGCAAGTGTTTTATATAATGATGATACAGTGCTGACCTCAAAACATCTAGCAGCAAGCGATGCAAATGAGAATTCTGATGCCAATATTATTTTTTGTTTGTTTGTTTTAGTGAGCGAGCTCTCTCTCTTTTTTCTTTGTAGAAATTTTTGGCATGTTCTCTTATCCTTGACATTCAAATAGTTTATTACAGTACATTTAATTGTAAGGGGTGTACACGTGTGTGGGGTGTGTGTGTGTGTGTATTGTTTATTCTTCCTGCTAGTTCTTCAGTGAATCCTTTCAAGTTACGGAAATTTGTCTTTTATGATTTTATTGATTATTCCTCATCTCTATTTTTCTGGTTCCTATTATCATAATCTCTATTAGCTGGATAACATCCCTCCTGCACTGATCTTCTATATCAAGTGTCAGCAATTTTTTTCGTTAAGGATGAGAAAGTAAATATTTTAGGCTTGAGGAGGTGTCATGTAAAGTTTCTAGCTCTTCTCTTCCTCTCTTTCCCTTTCACTCCCTCTCCTCCTCCTTCACTTCATTTTTCTCTTTCTCCTATTCCTTCTCTTCTTCTTCTTCTGACAATTCTCTAAAAATGGAAGAAAAAAAATTTAGCTTAAGCCATAAAAAATGAAGCAGAGGTCATAATTTTCTGACTCCTCCTCTTTATCTTAGTTTTTGTTACATTTTTCATTAGTTAATTTTGTTGAAATATTCTAAATACTTTTTTCTTTTGTCGTCTATATAGCTAATTAGGCACAAATTTGGGCAAATCATTTAATTTCTCTATGTATCAGTTGTCCCATCTGTAACTGAAGGTAATAATGGTTGTAAAGTTAAAGTGAAATACTCTATATAATCCTCAACATGGCATGGCACATTTAATAGATACTTAGGGAATATTACTTTTTGTTTTCACGGATGCAATATATTCTCTCAAGCTCTCTAAGGACACTAAAAATAATTTTTAAACTTATTTCTTATCTCTAAATTAACTTTGATTCTTCTAGAATTAATCACTATATGTTTTAATATTAGAACTTCTCTTTATGTTGCTGAACTACCCTAAATATCTGGTAAGTTTGGTTGTTAATTTATTTTTGAGTGAAGATCAAAGCAGATTGACATGAGTAGATTTCATGGACTTTCTGGATTACTTGCATTTTTCTTTCATTAGCAAGCTCCCTTCCTGAACGATGTGGCTGATTGCCAGATCTCTGCATCTAGGCTAGTCAAGTTAGCTAGTAGTGTTTATTTTGTATGTGTGAGTGGGGAGAGTGAAAATTTTAGTAAAGATCAGATTTGTAATACCAGTCCTCGCTCTTGGAGCCTTAAACCATCCCAAGTGGATGTTTAATTTCTTGGAAAATATTTTCCTGACTTCCTCCAGAAGGCAACTACACTGCACCTGGATGATATAATGAAAAGGGGGAAGCCTTATTCATGCTACTCTTCAACAGATACTGTTTCAATCAAATGCTCCACCCCAGATCTTGGCTCTGTACCTGCATAATCAGAGCCCAGAAGCTTCCTGATATTTTATTCTTAGGAAGATTTACAACTTGTTTGCCACTTCTTTTCTGTGTATGTTCTGTGCCCCAATCAGGCTTAGGAATTCATATAATTTCATTGCTTTGCATATTCTAACAATTTATGAAAATCTAAGGTGTACTGTTGGTCATCTCCCACCTTTATCTCAGTTCACCAGTGCTAGTCCTTTTATAAATATTTTATTATGCATGCTTTTTTACTCTCTAAAGAGCTTTGTGGAGGTAAAAGAGTTAAATATATAGATTCAGTCCAACAGCCTAAATTAGGTTTAAAATAATAATTTATAATGCTTAAATTTTCACCTCTTATGTGAAGCAATAAGGCCACCATGCAACATCAATCCAAAATTATGTTGACAGAAAATCTTTGAGATTGCTGAATGAAAAACATAGTTCATTACATGGTAAGTTTTCTGTTTGTATGGATCTCTTCGAATAAATGATTCTGCTCAAATTAGTAAATAATTGTTTTGGTATAAGTGTTAGTTCTTAGCTTCATTCTATTGATCATCTTATTTCATGGCACAGCAGAGTAGTTAACAGTTTATACTTTGGAGTCATAAAGACCTGGGTTCAAATCTTTCCTCTGCTATTTACTAACTTTGTGAACTAGAAAAATATTATTTAACTTTTTAAGACATATTTTTGGTCACCTGTATACAGTTCATTTATTTATTTATTTCACAAATATCTATTAAATACCTATGACTTTATTAGATTTCTATGAAGATTTATAAAAGAATAAAAGTCAAGTTGGTACTTAGCCCTTGATAAACATTTCCTGTTACTATTATTGTTTTCAACTATCTTTATTTCAGAACAAAAAATAACTGAACATGAGACAATTTTGTGCTGTCAATCATTCTTCACTATGTGGTATATTGCTGTTGAAAAGCAAACTATTAATGTTTAAAATAATTTCAGTTCTGACATTCATATTGGTCAGAAAACATATTGATATTACAGCAATATCAACTAAGAATAAATGTGGACACCATGCAGGAAAATTGTGCATGAACTCTTCCATGTCCTTTAAAAATCCTTTCAGGGCAAATATTTAAATTGAATCCTTAAAAATGCATGAAATGATTTAATCCCTAAAAAATCTTCTATTGTGTCTCTCAAGGCCACTTTCCTGAAATTAATACACAACAGCCATGCATAGCTTTCTATATTAACCAAAAAGGAAGGGCAGGATTATGCAATTGGGCTTTGCGTTTTTATCTTGGGACTCTGTGTTCTGCGAGCTGGAACTCCAGGTTCATCTGCCTTATGGCCTCAGGCTGCCTTTTTCCTGCTGGTCTCCTGACTGACATGCTGCGTGCACACCTTCAGAGAGGGGGCTCTGATCCTTCTTTTCCAGATAAATACTGTCAATATTCACTTGGCAATAAGGAATAAAGTTATATTTCCAATGCAAACAAAAACATTGGCCTGAAGAGCTGGGGAAAACATAGAATTTTTTTAAATAATACTGGCCCACCTTTTATAATGCGTTTGCTCACTGTGGTGCTCTCTGCAAGTAAATCCTTTAATTTTAATTTTTAATTATTTTATTTTATTTTTCCATAACTTGTTGGGGTACAGGTGATATTTGGTTATATGAGTAAGTTCTTTGGTGGAGATTTGTGAGAGCCTGGTGCACCCATCACCTGAACAGTATGCACTGCACCATATTTGCTGTCTTTTATCCCTCACTCCCCTTCCACTCTTCCTCCCAAGTCCCCAAATGACCTCTCACATTCCAAAATGTACTGACTAAGAGAGGGAACCCTATGGCCCTTTGCCCACCAGTACTTCAGGAATTCCCTCTTTAAATGCCTACAAGGTAGCATGACACAGAGATCAGCCCCACCAAAATTACCTGGTATGTTACTAGGACTGCCAAAACAAAGTACCACAGACTGCAGCTTAAACAACAGAAATTTATTTCCTCCTAGTTCTGGAGGCTCGAAGATTCAGATCAAGATGTCAGCAAGGTTGACCTCATGTAGCTTTAATTACTTCTATAAAGGGCCTATCCTCAAATACAGTTACATTCTGAATATAAATGTCACAACTTTGAAAAATTTTTAAACATTTACAGTTTGCTTTTCAACAGCAATACACCACAAAGTGAAGAAAGACTGACAGCACAAAATTGTCTCATGTTCAATTTTGTTTTTGTTCTAAGATAGAGAGTTGAAAGCAATAACAATAATAGGAAATGTTTATCAAGGGCTAAGTACCAACTAATCACTTGACTTTCATTCTATTATTAATCTTCATAGAAATCTAGTAAAATCATAGGCATTTAATAGATATTTGTGAAATAAATAAATAAATAACTTGTATACAGGTGACCAAAAATATGTCTTAAAAAGTTAAATAATTTTTTTTCAGGTTCACAAAGTTAGTAAATGGAAGAGGAAAGGTTTGTACTCAGGTCCGTATGACTCCAAATTATAAATTGTTAACTATTCTGTTGTCCTATGAAATAAGATGGCCAATAGAATGAAGCGAAGAATTAACACCTATACTGAAAAAATTGTTTACTAAGTTGAGCAGAATCATTTATTCTGAAATATCCATACAAACAGAATACTATGTAATGAAGACATGAATTTGAAGTGTCAGGGGACACAATCCAACCCGTAACATCTAGTAACTGGTTCCACAATGTTAAAAGTGTGCTCTTCATATAACAGTGAACTGGGTGCAATATTCTTTCTCAAAAACTGTCTAAGACAGGCCTCCCAGATAGCAGCTGATTCTGTAGCACTGCTCTCTGTTTACCTGTAGTGACAAACTACCACAATGTAAAAGGTAAGTCTTGGCCAGTGACTGTGGCTTTACGCCACATAACTGTTTTGCATGCATAGATGGTATGTGGGGAAATTGGTTTCCCAAGGAAATCATAGAATGTACCAATGCTGTACAGTTTAGAAGTGTTTCATGATGCAGATATTAATTTTAAAAAATCTTCTGCAAGATAACTCTGTAGCCTGGGTGGGTCCATCCTAGCTCTTGGAACCAGTAGAGGGCAGGTGGGAGTGTTAGAAGTGTTGGCTGGAAGAAGCCTGGGAGGATTCCTGAGACAGCATCTGGATTCACCAGAGGAAATGGGAGATAAAAAAATCTATTTATTCACAATTTTAAAAAATACTAACTGACTAGAATAGGTTGATTACAAAGCAGTATAATATATAACAGTAGCTAGGTGCTGTGGCTCACACCTGTAATCCCAGCACTTTCCGAGGCCATAGCAGGTGGATCACCTGAGGTCAGGAGTTTGGAGACCAGCCTGGCCAATAGGGTGAAACCCTGTCTCTACTAAAAATACAAAATTTAGCCGGGTGTGGTGGTGGGCACCTGTAATCCCACCTACTTGGGAGGCCAAGGCAAGAGAATCACTTGAACTTGGAGGCAGAGGTTGCAGTGAGCCAAGATTGCACCACTGCACTCCACCCTGGGGACAGAGCAAGACTCCATCTCAAAAAAAAAAAAAAAAAATATATATATATATATATATATATATATATATATATATATATATATATATGTATGTATAGGCAGAATGCTAGACTGGGAGATGGGAGTGGTTGTGGAGTTAAACTCTCTCTCATTCCATGATCTCCTCAAAACTAATTTTGTCATAAATAAAGAGGTCTAGTAACCTCTTTATTTCTATTCTGTTCCAACTGTAATCATCATATCACTTTTATTATCAGCATATTTCTAATGCCTTTGTAACTTTTCTATAACATTACAAATCAGCTTTCATTTCCTAGTTCTGACATGTAAAGAGACAATTTATTTCAAATAAGCCTTTATTCATACACTAGATCTTTCTATGCCTATTATTCATCTGAAAATAAGGGATGATTATTTTAACAATAACATAAAATCTTATCTGGACAAAATGAGATAATGCAAGTGAAAAGCTAAGCACTTTGCCATATACTTAGCATTCAATAAACACTAACTTTTATCATTTTAAATAATTGGGGTTGGTATTGCTACATATATAATTCAGGGTATTTTTTTCTCAATTCGCAGGCATATGGCAGAGAACTCAGTAAGGCAACCCAGATGAACTGGGAAAAATGTGGCTCAGGGAAGGAAGGAAGGAACCAGTTAGGTGCTAGCTCTCTATCCCCCTGAATAGGGCTGAACAGGTGCTGGGAAACATTTAGAATCTGTACACGCAAACAGTTCAGTGGACTGGAGCCTATAATTTAGGTTTATCTTATAAATTGTGGTAGTTTGTCACTATAGGTAGAGTAGACAGAGAACAGTGTCAGAGAATTGGCTGTCATCTTGGAGGCCTGTGCCTAGAGTCTCAGACACTGGGATGAGCAAGCCACCTGGCCTTGGAAAGGAACTTGCAAGAGCAAATCAAGGGTTAGCCACTGGCTAACCCTTCCTAGCTACAGACAATTCCCTCCTCGCCACTAATGCTCATAATCAATTCCAAATTCGACATTACAAAATACTTTTGTAGAGATAAAAATACTTCCCTTTTGAGTTTAACAATGAGAACACATGGACACAGGGAGGGGAACATCACACACCAGGGCCTGTCAGCGGGTGGAGGGCACGGGGAGGGGGAGCATTAGGACAAATACCTAATGCATGCAGGGCTTAAAACAGATGATGGGTTGATGGGTGCAGCAAACCACGATGGCACATATATACCTATGTGACAAACCTGCACGTTCTGCACAAGTATCTCAGAACTTAAAGTATAATACTACTAATAATAATAATAATAAACTTCCCTTTTATTATGTGGTGAGGCTAAATAAAAGTCTGTTTCTGGCAACTGGAGTGTGTGGCACTGAGGACTCAGTCACTCCAGTATTCAAGCAATAACCTTGCATAATCAGCCCTGGGCCAATCAGAAAGAGGATCCAGAAGACTGATTTATATTAAACATCATGTTTGATTTTATAGAAAATTCCTGGCTTTGTAAGGACATTTCAAGGATAGTGTGAAACCAAGCCTACTGAGGATGAGAGGAATGAATGCCCTAACAATGAGTTGCTTTAAATGTGGAAGGTGTAGACTGACACCAGCCAACTCTTTCTAGCTACAGATATTTCCCTCCTCTCCACTAATATTTATAATCAATTCCAAATTCTACATTAATAAAATGTTAAAAAGTAGCATTTTCTTCTAATAAGAGATTATCCCAGAAATATTTAATCTTTATTCTAAAATCTGAGACTATTTAAACTCTATATAGGGTAGAGGGAAGAACACTGAATATCTGAGCTCTGCTCTTGGCCCTACCATTGATCAGTTGTATTATACTAAGAAAATTAGTGATCTGGGCAAGATGGTTCACGTCTGTAATTCCAGAACTTTGGGATGCTAAGGAAGGAGGATCACTTGAATCCAGGAGTTCAAGACAAGCCTCGGCAACATAGTGGAGACCCTGTCACTATAAAAAATAAGAAAAGAAATTAGCCAAGTGTGGTGGCATATGCCTGTCCTGCCAAGTACTCTAAGAGGCTGAGGTGGGAGGATTGCTTGAGCCCAGGAAGTCAAGGCTGCCATGAGCCATGATCATGCCACTGCACTAAATCTGGGCAACAGTGAGACCCTGTGTCAAAAAAAGAAAGAAAAGTGGTGGGGGGGAGAGAGAGAGAGAGAGGAGAAGGAAGAAGAAAGAAGAAGGAGAAGGAGAAGGAGAAGGAGAAGGGGAAGGGTAAGGGGAAGGGGAGGAGGAGGAGGAAGAGGAAGAAGAAGAAGGGGAGGAGGAGGAGGGGAAGGAGGAGGAGAAAGAAAGAAAGAAAGAAAAAAGGAAAGAAAGAAAGAGAAAGAAAGGGGAAGGAAGAAAGAAAGAAGAGGAGGAGAAGGAAGGAAGGAAATAACTAAAAATAACTAATGCACATCTCTGGGGCCTAGTTGTACGATTTGAAAATGAAATTGGACCTCATTTCCGTCTCAGTTTATTTGGCCATGTCGCTTATGTTAATTATATTTTTCATTTTGTGGGAGTGACAACTGAAGAAGCCCCCCTTTTCTAGAATTCTCACTAAGGCTTTGAAGGGTTAGTGAGATTCATTCACCACAAAGGCTGCTCATTCATTCACCAAATATTTCATCATTGTGCATGCACTGTTCTTGGCCGTGAGGGTACAAGAGTACACAAGATAGATGAAGTCACTATTTCCATGGACATTATAAAAATAGTATAACAAATAAATGAATATGTATGTATCTTAGTTTTAGGTGGAGATGAGCTCTGAAGAGAAATAAAGCAAAGTAAGGAGTGTAAATGGGCATAAGGTTGGGTGGGTGGAGTGACTTGGATAAGGTGGTCAGGGAAGGCTGCTCTGAAGAGTTAACCTTTAAGCAAAGACCTGAATGAACAGAGAATGAAGGTCTGTGGAAAGAGCAGTCCTCAGACAGGGGAAATAATAGAACATTCCTTGAGACAGGAACATGCTTGGCATGTTTTTTAAATGCAAGAAAGCTGGTATGACTAGAGAAGAGTGACCAAGGGGAAGACTGTAGGACACCTGAGGTGTGATAAGTAACCAAAGCCAGATCATGCAGGGCCACTGTAGACCATGAGATGCCACTGGGGGAGTTTGGGTGAGATAGTAATATAATCTGGTTTGCATTTTAAAACTATTATTCCTGCTGCTAGCTAAAAAGACATGGGAAAGAGGTGAAGTCAGGGAGGAAGAAACATGGAGACTAATTAGGAGTCTAGAAGCAGTATTCTAACCTGGATAGCCTGAATTAGTGCAGTAGCATAGTATGTAATGATAAACAAGTGAATATGTGATATGCTCTTTTGGAGTTGGATTCCTAATGAATTAGGTGGGGATAGATGAGAGAAATTGAAAACCTCTGGGTAAACAATCTATAAGGCATATTCCAGAAATAGAAATCTATGAGCCCGTAACATGAACAATCTGCACCTTAGTTGACTGCTTATGGTAAAGAGGGATTTTACTAGAATCAGCCCACTTTGTAAACCACTGTGTTCTTGGGCCATTGCACAGGTCACTTAACACTTGTGGTCATTAACTTTTATATTGCCAAAGTGAGAGAAGTAAGACATTTCCACCTTTCTCATGCAGCAGCACTATGGTGGTATGCATTGGTCTTTTGTCACCCTGGCTCTAGCCAATTATGAGATGTATGACCTTGAACAGCTTATATTATTTCTACTAAATCGGGGGATGCTCAAAAAGACAAAAATATTTCCCTTTTATGGTTGTGGTGAGACTAAATAAAATTTCTCATTCAGTAACTATTTCCTGCTCATTGCCTACCTACATGGATCAGCACATTGGTGTCAAGGTATTGAGGATGAGGAAGGCACAGCTATGCTCTTCATAACTTTTTTTTTTTTTTTGAGACAGTCTCGCTCTGTCGCCCAGGCTGGAGTGCAGTGGCGCGATGTCCGCTCACTGCAAGCTCCGCCCCCCGGGTTCACGCCATTCTCCTGCTTCAGCCTCCTGAGTAGCTGGGACTACAGGCGCCCGCCACCACACCCGGCTAATTTTTGTATTTTTAGTGGAGACGGGGTTTCACCGTGTTTGCCAGGATGGTCTCGATTTCCTGACCTCGTGATCCGCCCGCCTCGGCCTCCCAAAGTGCTGGGATTACAGGCGTGAGCCACTGCACCTGGCCCATAACATTCTTTCTTATGCTTTAGAATGCCATGTATAGGGGCTGACCTACCAAGGAACTTATTGGAAGTTGATTTTCTTTCTTCCAAATCCAAAATTTGCTTGCTTATATGAGCATAGGACTCATAATTTAAGATAACATAGCGTGTTTTCAGAGCTGCCTTCTGGAACCAATTTCCTAATGCAAATGAATGGCTCTAATAATAATATAATTTCAGGCAAGTTAATACGTAGTAAAAAACATCCTTTTGGAAAAGCAGCCATTTCTCTCTCTCTCAGGTTAAACACATTTTCCTGCATATTCACTCTTAAGAAGCATTCTTTTTTATTAGAATACAGGTATAAGTGCTGATGCAAGTTTATGATTATAGAGTACTTGAATAAGTTCCAATGCCTTACCTATCTTACTTTGTCAGAGAAATAGTCCTGCTCAGGGAATTTTGAATTCATTGACAGTTTTTTTAGTCACCTTTAAATTTGTCACTTGACATAGTAGGAAGTACATACCCAATTCACCTGGCAATAGGCACTGCAGTATTTTTAATAGCATTTCATAGAAATGTCATATCCAATTAGTAATTTCACCATGCTACCTCAACAATTAGTGAATTAATCCAGGAAGTGCCTATAAAAATCATACCAGGTAATAGTTTCCTAAGTCATTTACAGTTAATAATATGTTGTCAAGTTTAGATCTCAAGTGTAATTCAAAGTAGAGTCCATGGTCTTCAGATTTGCTCAGTGACATTGTGAACCAGTAACATACAGGTGCAAAGCTCTAATTTTTTATTCTCTTTTATCTAACTCATAATCTTTCCATTTCTCTGTGTGTCTCCACTGCCTCTCTTCATGACTAGAATCATGAGTTGTGTTAGCATTGAACTGTATCTCCTAATCAACTCAGCTTCTGCCTATTTGTCTTTCCTAGTCAGCGTATGATGAGTTTGGCCAAACTTCCAAAGATAGAATATGCCATTAACATTGATTTTTTAAAATCTGTAATAGGGTATTGTGTTGGCGTTCCTTCATTGAAATTCTAAGTATGTGGATTAATCATAAAATCATATTCTTCAGAACCATTGGAAGTATAATATTCATATGTTTTCATATATCAAAACCACGTTTGTGCTGTGTCTTCCTATTTGATTTTTCTCTTTTTCCTCTTGTAATATGATAAATTGCAAGAGGCAATTCCTGGTTGTTGCTTATGAAAATTTCAAGACAAAATCTAGATATGCTTTTTCTAGGGCATTGTTTCAAGACAGTTGCATAGTTAGTTATCTTCCTGCCACCAGGACATAAATTAAGCTATTCATTAACCAACTAATATTGTTAAATGTCTACTATAAGAAGGCCTTCAGGGAATACAAAAAGATGCTAATATTTTGTTCTCAAAGAACTCATAATTTAGATGAGAAGAAAATGCTCAGTCAAATGAAAAATCAGTTAATAACAGTGAGTTAAATTGGAATGTAATGTGAGTTCAAAGGTTATTAGATATTATAAAACTGTCCAATGGATAGTGCAGATAATATTTCTGTTATCCATTTATACTTCACAGCATTTTAGCTAGGCATTGGAGGATAGAATTAAAATTTTGAGTACTTTGTAGCCCACTCCTTTGCTTCAGTAGCAGACTATCATAAAACTTGATTTCCTCCTGGGGCCATCTCATCTCAACTTGCCTTTAACTGACCATTCCAGGCTACCTAATACCTGAACAGAGCACAGACAACTCCTGTACTGACATCAGTATCCATACCCAGGATAAGCTGCTGTGTTGATTTTTTGACCTACTTTTCCTCTTGAGACTTCAAATTAAAAGATGGCTATGTACCAATAATGTTAGTGGGTACCTTAGGGGATATAAAAATGAAGATGTCATGGTTGTCATTTATATTCTCATGTCTTGTGGGATAAACACATAGGTATAAACAATCCAAACCAAGTAGAGTATGATGAGAGCCTTAATAAAGGTAGAAATAAAGCTGTTGTGAACTGACTTTAACCCAATCTAATAAATATGGCCCAATGTAATAATATAAAAGATCTACCAATGTAAACATTCAGACCCTTTGTGAAAGTTCCTTCAGATTTCCCCTTCCTCATCCTGCTCCTCTGTAAAATGGCATCTGACTGTGTGGTAGAGGAAGCAATGTTTAAATGACTTTGGAGATTTAATACAAAAACAGGAACTCATAGTGCGAGGATCTTCGGGAACCACACAAATTATGATATTTGAGGTGTTTGTCTTGTCTAAAAACTGAATCAGTGATTGATAGGCTGCAATTTGTTCTCCCTGACTCTTTGGATTAAGATTGTGGGTGGTTAGAGATGACATACTAGTACCTATCATACTGGTCATATCTATGCCCTCAGGGCAGATAGAATCTTTTGGGGTTCCTGCACACTACGTAATAGTTGATAGCCAGGACCTCTGTTCCAGGCCCACGTGTTTGGATCCCTCCTACCAATGAGTCTATGCTATTTTAGAAGTGGTTCCTTTCAGACCTCCCTACAAGCTTACAGCCCCTTGCTAGTATCCCAAGAGAAGCATGACACAAGTCCAATGTTCTGAGCTACTCCATCTCTCAGCGCATATTTCCCCAAAATTGATCAATTACCAAGTAGCAGTGCTTTTGAAGTTCATGCCTAAAAAGGCAAATTTAAATCTTTTTCTTCTTCTATCATATATTCTTACTACTCTTAAACAGAAAACCTTGTAACTGTCATTGGTAAAAGGGATATCTTCTCTAGAACTACAGAAGAAATTCTATAATCTAGGTCTTTAGACTTGGTTCATATTATTTTAGAGAAATTCGCAAAGTTTGTTTGCTGTCCAAATCTAATAATAAAGCCTAGTATTTTGATGTACAATCTTATTTTGGTTGTTGGATGTTTAATATTAGCTATATATATTTTTATTACTTGATTATTCTAATAAAGATATGCCTGTCCCTACTTTTTTTTTTTTTTTTTTTTGAGACCGAGTTTCACTCTTATTTCCCAGGATAGAGTGCAATGGTGTGATCTCGACTCACCGCAAAGTCCGCCTCCCAGGTTCAAATGATTCTCCTGACCCAGCCTCCCGAGTACCTGGGATTACAGGCATGAACCACCACACTGAGCTAATTTTTGTATTTTTAGTAGACACGGGGTTTCTCCATGTTGGTCAGGCTGGTCTCGAACTCCCGACCTCAGGTGATCCGCTCACCTTGGCCTCCCAAAGTGCTGGAATTACAAGCATGAGCCACCGCGCCTGGCTGCCTGTCCCTACTCTTTCATGCAGGTAACAGGTACAGTCATATATACAGAAATATAAACAAAAAAATAGAGCACCTTTTTTTAAAACGATTTCTCCATTTGACTCTGCTATAAGGGATTGTATCAGAACCTGTAGGATATGTGTGTGTCTGTATATGTGTGTGTGTCTCTGTGTGTGTGTATCTCCAGTATTGTCACAGTATACATCAAGAGAGAGATTTGGCAGGCTGGAAATTCTAGGGCAGAAGGTGACTCTGCAATCTACCAGTGGAGTTTCTTTTTTCCTTGGGAAAACCTCAATTTTGCTCTTAAAGATCAGCCTTTCAACTAATTGGATGATCTCATTTACTTAATGTCAACTAACTGTAGATATTAATCACTTCACAAAATAACTGCACAACACCCCCTTACATTAGCGTTTGAGTAGCTAGGTGCCACAGCTTAGCCTAGTTGAAAAATGATAATCACAGAGCCTACATTAAATTGGTGATAACTGGAAGGGAATAAAAGGGATCAATTATGAACAAACAAATAACTAGATAAAACAGGCAAAGGTAACAAAGCGCTAAGAATAATGTGAAAGGTTTACTTTGGTAACTGCGAAAGTGGTGTACATGTAAAAAAACAATAAGTAGCTTATTTGGAGAAGACGTTAACTAATTCAGTTTTAGATGCTAATGAATGTGAGTTAAATAATCAAATTATTGGAGGTATTTTGCCCAATCAATATATCTTAATTGAACTGCTGAAGGGATGGACATACAACCTCCACTGCCCAGCTCTGGACACAGCTGATTGGGCTGGTAGTGTATATCTGACCAAATCTGAAGAGTTAATTTAGCCAATCAGGTTCTTATCACACTTAAATAACCACACACACAAGCTAGTCAAATGGTCAGGGGTCCTACAACTATAGAAACTTGGAGTCCTGGAAGTGGCAGCCTTGAAAGTGCAACTGTATGTTGTATAGTCCAGCCCAGAGAGAAGAGAATCTTAACTTAGATGAGATAGGCTAGATAACTCTAGCCTTAAAGGTGGAGAACATAATTTTAATCCCTATCCTTCTTCATATAGCTTGGCTGTGTCCCCACTCAAATCTCACCTTGAATTGTAATAATCCCCACATGTCAAGGGTGGGGCCAGGTGGAAATAATTGAATCATGAGGGCAGTTTCCCCCATACTGTTCTCAAGGTAGTGAATAAGTATCACAAGATCTGATAATTTTACAGGTGGGAGTTCCCCAGCACAAGTTCTCTTTTGCCTGCTACCACATAAGATGTGCCTTTGCCTTCTGCCATGATTGTGAGGCCTTCTCAGCCATGCTGAACTGTGAATCCACTAAACCTCTTTCCTTTATAAATTACTCAGTCTCCAGTATGTCTTTATTAGCAGCATGAGAATGAACTAATACTGTAAATTGGTACCGAATACTGGGGCACTGCTCTAAAGATACCCGAAAATGTGGAAGCGACTTCAGAACTAGGTGACAGGCCGAGGTTGGAACAGTTTGGAAGGCTCAGAAGAATACAGGGAGATGTGGGAAAGTTTAGAACTTCCTAGAGGCTTTTTGAATGGCTTTGACAAAATGCAGCTCATTACAGATAGAGATAAGGAACTTGTTCAGAACTGGAATAAAAGTGACTCTTGCTATGTTTTGGCAAAGAGACTGGCTGCATTTTGCTCCTGCCCTAGAGGTTTGTGGATATTTGAACTTGAGAGGGATGATTTAGGATATCTGGTGGAAGAAATTTCTAAGCAGTGAAGTGTTCAAGGGTTGACTTAGATGCTGTTAAAAACATTCAATCTTATGTATTCACAACGATATGGTTTGGAATTGGAACTTAAGTTTAAAAGGGAAGCAGAACATAAAAGTTAAGAAAATTTAGCCAGGTGCGGTGGCTCATGCCTGTAATCCCAGCATTTTGGGAGGCCGAGGCAGGCGAATCACAAGGTCAGGAGACCGAGACCATGGTGAAACCCCATCACTACTAGAAAATACAAAAAATTAGCCGGGAGAGGTGGCGGGCACCTGTAGTCCCAGCTACTCGGGAGGCTGAGGCAGGAGAATGGCATGAATCTGGGAGGCGGAGCTTGCAGTGAGTTGAGAATGGGCCACTGCACTCCAGCCTGGGAGACAGAGCAAGACTCCATCTCAAAAAAAAAAGAAAAGAAAAGAAAAGAAAAGAAAAGAAAATTTGCAGCCTAATGATAAGGTAGAAAAGAAAAACACATTTTCTCAGGAGAAATTCAAGCCAACTGAGGAAATTTGCATAAGTAATGAGGAGTCAAACGTTAATTGCCAAGACAATAGAGAAAATATCTCCAGGGCATGTTAGAAGTCTTCATGGAAGCTCCTCCCATCACAGGCCTGGAGGCCTAGGGGGAAAAAATTGTTTCCTGGGCCAGGCCGAGGGCCTTTGTACTTTGTGCAATCTCAAGACTTGGTGCCCTGTGTCCTAGCCATGGCTAAAAGGGGCCAAGGTACAGTTCAGGCCATGGCTTCAGAGGGTGCAAGCCCCAAGCTTCGGCAGCTTCCACTTGGTGTTGAACCTGCGGGTGCACAGAAGTCAAGAATTGAGGTTTGGGAATCTCCACCTAGATTTCAGAAGATGTATGGAAATGCCTGGATGTCCAGGCAGAGGTCTGTGGCAGGGGTGGCGCTCTCATGGAGAACCTCTGCTAGGGCAATATGAAAGGGAAATCTGGGGTTGGAGCCCCACACAGAGTCCTGGAGCACTGCCTAGTGGAGCTGTGAGATAAGGACCACTGTCCTTCAGATCCTAGAATGGTAGAACCACTGATAGTTTGCACTGTGTGCCTGGAAAAGCCGGACAGACAATCCAGCCTGTGAAAGCAGCTGGGAGGGAGACTGTATCCTGCAAAGCCACAGGGCAGAGCTGCCCAAGACCATGAGAATCCACCTCTTGATCAGCGTGATCTGGATATGAGACATTGAGTCAAAGGAGATCATTTTGAAGCTTTAAGATTTGACTGCCCTGCTGGATTTCAGACTTGCATGAGGCCTGTAGACCTTTTGTTTTGTCCAGTTTCTCCCATTTGGAATTGGTGTATTTATCCAATGCTTGTACCCCTTATTGTATCTAGGAAGTATATTAACTTGCTTTTGATTTTATAGGCTCATAGGTGGAAGGGACTTTCCTTGTCTTAGATGAGACTTTGGATTGTGGGCTTTCGAATTAATGCTGATATGAGTTAAGACTTTGGGGACTGTGGCAAAGGCATGACTGGATTTGAAATGTGAAGACATGAGATTTGGGAGAAGACAGGGCTGGAATGATATGGTTTGGCTGTCTTCCTACCCAAATCTCACCTTGAATTGTAATAATCCCCAGGTGTCAAAGGTAGGGCCAGGTGGAGATTGTTGAGTCATGGAGGCAGTATTTCTCATACTGTTCTTGTGATAGTGAATAAGTCTCACAAGATTTGATGGTTTCACAAATGGGAGTTCTTCTGCACAAGCTCTCTTTTGCCTACCACCATGTAATATGTGCCTTTGCTGCTTCTTTGTCTTCCACCATGATTGTGAGACCTCCTCAGCCATGCTGAACTGTGAGTCCATTAAACCTCTTTCCTTAATAAATTACCCAGTCTCGGGTATGTCTTTATTAGCAGTGTGAGAATGAACTAATACATTTCTAGACACTGATTTCATGATACCCGACTTTACTACATTTACTTTCTTTAAGCTTTATTATTATAAATATTCCCATTTTCTAAATGTATTTAACTTACATTGAATAAGTTTCAGTTCTTGGATTCAGGAGTAAAACCAAGTAGCATGAGGAAATTGACTTGGAAATATCAGTACTATCTATTTTCAATCATTTGCTAACTCAATGTTTACTTAGTGTGTTTGCTGGTGGTAAAAAGGAGAAAGAAGGAATTTTAAAATTGGGACCAAAATGAGTCTGAATGTAGTTTAATTGAAAAAATAATAGACTCCAAAAACAGCCGCACTTGCTGCAGCATGGTACTTGCAGGATCAAAACAAAATGTAAAGAAATACCTTCTGATACCTTGACTGCAATAATTAATTATTCAACCACATCCAGAGTTATAATCTGTAGTCTCTACCATATTTTCACTGCCCAATGTACTAATCTTGTCAAAAATTTCTACCCTATTCAGCTTAAATTCCTTGGCCCATCAAAAGCAATACTTTTTCACATAAGTCTCTAATGTCCTTGCCATTTTTGGCTTTGCCATTCTCCGCTGATAAAATCCCAACCACAGTTAATCCCAACTCTCTGCCTATTCCATACTTCCCTTCACTCAAAACATTGCTGGCAAATTATGCCCAATCATACTATCTGGCCAAAATTGAAATATACGACCACAAACCTTAAATGGGCTCTTCATGCTACCCAACAATCAGCTATGCTTCTTCAGTTCAGTCACATCTACTTGTCTGGACAATGTTTTTATACTTTCATCTCTACCATTAGAACTCCAACACTTCCTTCCTCTTCATCTATTCTCATTCTTACGAGGATGCTTATGCTTCCCACTCCACTGAGAAGAGAGCCAACCAAGTGCCTGAAATCCAGTACCATATCTTCCTGCCTACCTGTTAGATTGTAAAACTTCCCCAGGAGTCCTCGCTTGTTATGTCTATGAATCAGTTTCTTCCCTTCTACTGGCTGATTCCTAATAGCAACAGCTGGGAATTGAGGAAGGCAGAGTGGGAAGTGAGCATTAATGGGTGCAGGGTTCTTTGAGAGTAATAAAACCTTCTAAAATTACATTACAGTGATTGTACATGCCTGTAATTATACTAAAATCTAACACATTTTACAATTCAAAAAGGTAAATTTTACGGTATGTAGCATATCTCAATGAAGGTGTTTCATAAATATATATATATATATATATATATATATATATATATATATATATGAAAATCTTTGTGATCCTGTGGTTTGCAAAAATACCTTTGACAGCACACATACACACGCACACACACACACACACAGACATGCAAACATATAGTCATTACAAATTGTTGAACTGTTTTTTTTCAAAATGAAAAGATTTATCTTCATCAAAAGCCACTATGCTTACTACCTTAGCAATGGGATCATTACTATCTCAAACCTCATTCCATATGACCATGTAAAAAACCTGCACATGCACTGAATCTAAATTAAAAGTAGGAATTATTTTTTAAAAAGCTAAAAATAAGAGTAAACCAAAAAAGTCACTATTGCAAAACACATAAGCTACAGATTACATAAAATATTTACAATACATGTTGGACAAAAGACATACATACATGTTAAGAACCAAAACTCAATATTAAAAATTAAATCACCCAATTAAGCAATCAGAAAAAGATTTAGATTTTTTAAAATTATTTTTAACTATTTGGTTGAGACAGGGTCTCACTTTGTCACCCAAGCTGGAGGGCAGTGGCATTATCATAGCTCACTGCAGCCTCGACCTCCCAGGCTCAACCAACCCTCCCACCTCAGCCCCAGAGTAGCTGGGACTACAGGCGTGTGCCACGACTCCCTGCTAATATTTTTTTTCCAGTGAATTGTTTGAACTTTTTGAGAGATGGGCTCTCACTATGTTGTTGAGGCTGGTCTTGAACTCCTGGACTCAAGCAATCTTCCTGCCTCAGCCTCCCAATGTGCTGGGATTACAGGCATGAGCCACCACACCCAGCCTGATTTGGATATTTTATTAATAAAGGCATACAAATTAATAGTAAGTAAATAAAACTGTGTTCAAACTATTTGTCATCAGAGGAAATGAATAAGCTATTTGAAACCACTACATACCAACTAACATAATTAAAGTTAAAAAATAATAATGATAACTGAAAACATGAATATAGGTGAGGATGTGAAGCAAGCAGAACTGTGGCTCATTGACAGTAGAAATAATAAATTGTACCAATTTGGAAACCTATTTGGCAGTTTCTTATAAAGTTCCACATCACTTTTCTATGACCCATCAATTCTGTTTCCATTTATTTATTAAAAAGAAATAAAAACATATATTCACAAAAAGACTAGTACAAGAATGTTCATAGTAGATTTATTTACATTAGCTCTAACTGGAAATATCCCAAGTGTCTATCAATAGATGATTTAAAATTTTTTGTTTATATATATATATATGTATATGTATATATGCCAAATACCAAATATATATGTGTGTGTATATATACGTATTTTTTTTTAGTCTTGCTCTGTTGCTCAGGCTGGAGTGCAGTGGCATGATCTTGGCTCACTGCAACCTCTACCTCCTGGGTTCGAGCAATTCTCCTGCCTCAGCCTCCTGAGCAGCTGGGACTACAGGCACATGCCACCATCCCTGGCTAATTTTTCTATTTATAGTAGAGATGGCATTTCATCCTGTTGGCCAAGCTGGTCTCAGACTCCTGACCTCAGGTCATTCACCCACCTCAGCCTCCCAAAGTGCTGGGATTACAGGCATGAACCACCGCACCTGGCCGTTTTGGTATATTTGTAAATGCAATACTACTCAACAATTAAAATTGACAACTGATATATACAACAAAATAAATGAATTTCAAAAATATTACATAGAACAAAAGAAGCATATGCAAACGAGTACATCCACATGATTTGCTTTATATGAATTTCAACAAAGGACAAGACAAATCTGTGGCAATAAAAGTCAAAACACCAGATGCCTCTTGGTGTGGGGACATTGACTGGAAAGAGGTATGAGAAGTTTCCGGGATGACAAAACAATTCTAAATCTTGATTAAGGTGTTAGTTACATGAGTTTACATATTTGTTAAAATATATTAAACTATGGAAGAAGATCTGTTTATTTCTCTACATGTAAATTATACCTTATAAAAATAAAAACAAGTTAACATCCTCAGTTGGGTTAGTTATCAGGTGGAAGTCAAGGCTGGAAAGATGGAAATGCATATTGTTCAATATTTTACAGTATTGTATATATTTTGTGAAATTATTTTCTTTGAAAATCCGGATAATCACAGAAGAAAAAAGCTAAATAGCAGAATATTAGTGATGTATGCTGTTCATAAAGTCAAGCTTATAGCAAGGTGTTACAAGAAAGAGATGAACTCGGAAGCATTAGCTATTTTGAGAGCACAGTGAATTTATATCTGGAGAATTCAAAAACCTGGGTCTTGCAGGGTTAGAAAAGCCAACTGCTTTTAAATCCCAAACTCAAAAAGGCCCACTAAGATCTTATAGTTGAATAAGGACTTAGCCCTGAGCAGAGAGGGGTTGAAGAGCAAGGAGACACATTGACAGAGTTAAAATCCCTGAGCCTCAAGATGGCTGTTGTTAATTTCAGAGGGAGAAAGAAAAAGACAAGGAGGCAAGATCGTAACAAATAAATCATGCTAGATATTTACCGTTAGCAAAGAATTTTAGTATAGTTACAGATATGTGGTACTGAATGAGTTGCTTAGATTGATTTGTGCAAGAAATGTGAAGCAAACTAAACCACATCCTGGCCTAAAAATACTCTCAATCTTCCACTTGCAGAATGTGGCTATAGAATGTCAGGAGGAGGACATTCTCCAAGGAGGACATATTCCCTAATGTTCATTTCAAATGAGGCAATGGACCTCAGGAGAAAAAAATTGGAGAAAAGATTTGTTCCCTGATAGAAGAGTCAGGGTCTACTCAGGTAAGTTTCTCTACTACCAGGTTAGAGAATTTTACAAAGCCAATTTCATAGGATTTTCTTATTGCTATGGACTCTGCAATACATCCTTTTCCCAATAAGACTTTCAGTGCAGTTTGCAAGTCTCCCATAATTGATCACTGGAGAGTAGATCATTGTCTTTTGTCTATTAGTTGTCAGAGTAGGATGTCATACCGGATGAAAAGAACTGTACACCACCCACAAATCTCTCCTGTACCTCAAGCTACACACCTCACTTAGATAGGGTAGTAATGTGTACTCCTGATGGACAGGCAATCGAGGAATTTGTAGGCTATATCAAAGAGTGTAATCCTTACCTTATAAGCAGTGGCCAGCCACTGAAAGGTTTTAGCTTACATGGCATGTGATCTGATGCATGCATCAAGAATGCCTTTCTAGTTTCGGTGTGTTGATTAGATTGGAAGTGGATCAGAATAAATAATGGGCAGTAAATTAGGTTTTATAGCAATCAAGTTGAAAGATGGTGATAGCTGGTACTAGACTTGTGACAAAGGAGATTTAGCATAGTGGAACAATATGAGAAATATTTAAAAGGTAATGCTAATTGAACATGGAGTGCATTGTAAATAGTGAGAGAGGATGGTAAGGGGGGTGGAATTTTTACATACAATATTTACTTGGAGGATGGTGTAATTTGCTAAGTAAACAGCTAGAAAATCAGGTATAGAAGAATAGCTTGAAATTGGACGTATTGGATACCATGTGTTTGAAGTCTCTTGGAAAAATCTAGTGTATTGAATTCATTACAGATGTCTATGCCAGACATTTCACTTACCAATAATTAGTATAATAATAATGACTGAGGCTTGGGAATTAAATTAGCCTGAGAAGAGACTATGAAAATAAAAACAAGAGGAAACAATGCAGGAGGTGACAGACAAAATAGCCAGTATAGAGATGAATGTAAACTACCTGATAGAGCTGAAAAACACACTACAAGAATTTCATGGCCGGGCATGGTGGCTCATGCTTGTAATCCCAGCACTTTGGGAGGCCGAGGCAGGCAGATCACAAGGTCAGGAGATTGAGACCACCCTGGCTAACATGGTGAAACCCCGTCTCTACTGAAAATACAAAAATTAGCCGGGTGTGGTGGCAGTCGCCTGTAGTCCCAGCTACTTGGGAGGCTGAGGCAGGAGAATGGTGTGAACCTGGCAGGCGGAGCTTGCAGTAAGCCCAGATTGGGCCACTGCACTTCAGCCTGGGCGACAGAGCGAGATTCCATCAAAACAACAACAATGACAACAACAACAACAACAACAACAAACAATTGAATTCTTGGACACAGAGTGTAGAAGGATGGTTAACAGAGGCTGGGAAGGGTAGTGGCAGGCTCAGGAGGAGGTGGGGATGGTTAATAGGTATGAAAAATAGAAACAGCCAGGCGCCGTGGCTCACGCCCGTAATCCCAGCACTTCGAAAGCCGAGGCGGGTGGATCACCTGAAGTCAGGAGCTCGAGATCAGCCTGGCCAACATGCAGAAACAGCGTCTCTGCTAAAAATACAAAAGTTAGCCAGGAGTGGTGGTGCTCTTCTGTAGTCCCAGCTACTAGGGAGGTTGAGTCTGGAGAATCTCTTGAACCCAGGAGGCGGAGGTTGCAGTGAGCCCGCCATTGCACTCCAGCCTGGGCGACAGAGTGAGACTCCATCTCAAAAAAAAAAAAAAAAAAAAAAAAAATAGAAAGAATGAATAAGACCTACTATTTGATAGCACAATAGGGTAACTATAGTCATTAATAACTTAATTGTACATTTTTAAATAACTTAAAGTGTGTAATTGCATTGTTTGTAACTCAAAGGATAAATGCTTGGGAGATGGATACCCTATTCCTTGCGATCTACTTATTTCACATTGCATGCCTGTATCAAAACATCTCATGTACTCCATAAATATATACACTTAACTATGTAACTGCAAAAATTTTAAAAATATACAAAAAAATTTAAAAACTGAATTAAAGAGCATTGTAGATAATTGTATTTTTCAAAAAATAGGTAAAATATCTGGTATATAACAGTTTAAAAAAAAAACAAAATTCCTGTGTTATCAACTCTGTGACCTTAGAACTACCTTGTTACATTTTCAAAGATTAACTCTCCTTAAAAAATAAATGTACAAATTATTACAAGCCAGAATTGTTGCAAATCTTTTAAAATATATTTCACACTCATCATTTGTAATTACCATAGATTAAAAGGATGCTTGAAAATTTCACTGAAGAAAAGGTTATTATTTTTATGAGGTGAGAGAGATAAATAGAAAGCCTCATGACTTTGTTACTGTATAATAAGACAATGTAATATTCAGCTGACTTTTTTTCAGTAGTTATCAATGTCATTTTTCTGTCATATTATTTCAAGATAAGAGAAAAATAGCTACTCTTGGCCACAGCTACTCTGAAATATTTCATTAATGTGGCTCACATTATTTTTATTTACTCATTCTCTTTTTGTCCCCTCTTGAAGAAGAGTAATTAAAATGTTGGCTGGGAAGGAACTTAACAGACACTAAATAACCCCAAAGAGAAAAATGTTTCTGTGTTTACCTTTTAATGCTTTTTATTCCATTGCCATGTTAGAAAGTAAACTCTTTTATGGTGGAAAATGTCTTTAATTTTATTATCAAAGTTTAATCTCTAAAGAGGTCTTCTGTTTTACAAAGTCTTCTAAGTCAGTTGGTATCTAATAAAGGCTGTTGATTAAAACTAGGAAACAACATTTAAAAGTACAGTCTGCTAGACGTTTGGTCACTTTATTTTCTATTAAATATTTATGCTACATCTACATAGCTTTAATGTATGAAATTTAATTTTGCAGAATTTCCCTGAGGTGGCCTGTGGTGTGGAGGTAAGGGAGAATGTCAGGCTAGAAATAGACTTAAGATAATGTAGTGCTATCTCTCCATCACCAGAGAGCAATACATTTAAAATTTAAAAGTGCTGTGTTACCATCAGAGCAGGGTCCAAGAAAGAAGAGCTACTGGCTGCAAGCCTTCAGGTAAACTGTGAAATCAAAAGGCATCGTTCGGTTTTATCAAGCAAACAGCTACAGTCATCACTTTGTGAACAACTTGAGAAAAAGATGCAAGACTGTTGTTGCTTGCCTCTTCTTAAAGAATTACTGGTTGTACAAAGCAGAAACTTCAAGCATGTCTATGTGCTGAGCTCAGAATTGTGTTGTATTAGCTTCACTTTGAAACGTCTAAAGATTTCCAATTTCATTCTGCTACTCACCACTTCTCTCCTTCTCAGATTGGCTGCTAAGAGCATACATTCCTTTTTTTTTTTTTTAAACAGGAAGAAAACAGTTCTTCTATGTGAATTTCATCTTGCCAGAGAATAAATTGTACGAAATGAATGGTATTTAGGATACTTTGGGGGTGCCAAATTACGCATTTGATATACTTCAATGGACACATGTGTTCACAAACACTTGTTTAATCAATTATCTCACCAGAATTCTTCACCAAAATAAAAAATATTTAACTTACATTCTTATAGAAAAGAAAGTCAATGAAAAGGTTAAAGTAGTTCTAGTTTATACTTGGTCTGAAAAAATATATTTTATGTTTCTTTATTCAATTTAGATGTGCTAACTTTTGCCTTTCAGATTTTTAATACGGAGACTGGAGAACTTTAATCTTACCCTTTTTTTAGATTTTGATAACCTTTAGCTTTTTTTTCCTCCTTTCAAATTTTAAATTCTTTTTAAAAATGCATTTAGTTATCTAATTTAAGCAGCCTTTTTGTGGTTTGGTTTATGTGGAATTATAAATATAGCTGGTCAAGAGCAATAAGACTATTCATACTTTTCCTCTTCAGTGACAGTGTATGAAGGGAGGAGATTTGTCTTGTAAGCCTGAAGCCAACCTTTCACTTTGTTCTGAATTCGCTGCTCCGTGTTACCATGGGAAACTCCAGCACTCATCAAGGCTGGCTGAACCCAGCTGGCTGCACGGAGCTTTCACAGTGACTTGGGCACTGGGGACAAGCTGGCTCATTTACTAACATCTGACTTTTTGGCCCAAAGTACAAAATCTCATAAGCAGCACTTACAAAAGGCTCGATTTTTCAGGATGTCAAGTTTTGTGACAACCTTTTTTTTTTTGGAAAAGACATACTGTTTTCTCTTTAGTCCAACTAGCTATTGCATTGACAACATTTCTTTTTGGAAAGAATAGCTGAGGAATTTAACTGAAAAAAATTAATAGGAGAAATAAAAACTCTAAATGATCCAAATTGGGGCAGAGGTATAGCTAAAGCAGCAAATCACTCAAATGAATTCAACAACATTTAGTTCCCAAATTCAATTTTCTACAGTAAACCTTGTACAGTCTATAGATGCTTAGTGAATTGGATTCCATTCCCACTGAAGCCATTCTTCAAACAAACAAACAAACAAAAATTCAATATATACACTCTTTTATACTCTAACTTCAGTTTGACAAGAGGGCTTTGTATTAGCAGAAGGATCTTGCAGCTCGAATATATGAATAATTTTCCTAAAATTTACATAAGACTACAATATCAATAAAGTATCATTAAACGATTAAATAGCTTTCATATTATGTTGCTCCAAACAAGTAAGGTTTTTACTTTCTTAATAAAGGGGTGAGGAATCTGAGAAGTGGGTTGAAACAAAGGTAACATATTGATTATATCAAAATCTTTTCCACAGTAATTATCATTTAAAAGCTTCTAGGTGCACACAGCAGGCCAGAAGTCAAGGGTACATGAGATCAGCACTAAATCAGCAACAGATATAGATATGGCCACAGCAGTAGAGAGGTGCAGAACCAGAGTTAAACATTAGACATCAAAGAGAGAACAGAAAGTCTAGTGAGTAGAATGGCAAGAGAGTCCTGGGTAACTAACTAAATCAGTGATAAGAAAGGTAAATGGGATGACAGAAGGTGAGGACCTTAAGAAGGAAAGTCAGACAATACACGTCCATTTTAATAGACACTGCTCTCTCTCTGGCAGAGCTACCATCTAAACACTGAGTTTTGAACATGAAGACAAATAGTTGAGATTTTGAGACCTAACTAAACATTCTTTTGAATTAATTATCCTGAAGAACTCGGTAGTAAGCAAGTTAATTTCTTTCTTTCTTTCCTTTCTTTGTTTTTTTTTTTTTTTTTTTTTTGAGACGGAGTCTCACTCTTTTGCCCAGGCTGGACTGCAGTGGCGCTATCTCGGCTCACTGCAAGCTCGCTTCCCGGGGTCATGCCATTCTCCTGCCTCAGCCTCCCAAGTGGCTGGGACTACAGGCGCCCGCTACCACGCCCGGCTAATTTTTTGTATTTTTAGTAGAGACGGGGTTTCACCGTGTTAGCCAGGTTGGTCTCGATCTCCTGACTTCGTGATCCGCCCACCTCGGCCTCCCAAAGTGCTGGGATTACAGGCGGGAGCCACCGCGCCTGGTCAAGCAAGTTAATTTCTATGCCTAGTCTTTCTCTCTCTCTCTCTCTCTCTCTCTCTCTCTCTCTCTCTCTCTCTCTCTCTCTCTCTCTCTCTCTCTATATATATATATATATGTATATGTATATGTATATGTATATATATGTAAATGATGATGCTTCAAAAAATAATTTAGGTATTTATTTTCTGCATTCCACCACTAGAATGAAAAATAGTAGTATCCTCTTCTATCATGTTCATAAGTCTGTCTCCAGCTGGTAGCATAAGACTGACCTGTATCAATTGTTGTACAAGTATTTGGTGATCGGATTCATTATTAGCTATCTTTCTTTTGGAGTTTTCCTTCACTCTTGAAATTATAAATTATGTTTCCTAACACTACAGTTTCAGTTTCTGTTTTACTACATATGAAAACTGAACATCTCTACTATAGATAGATTAGCACTGTTCAGCAGCAACAGTGATTACTGCCAAATACCATTTCTCTGTTGGAAACACATCCAGAATTCTAGGAGCTTATAAAGTTGAAAAAGTGACATATGGTATAATTGCATTAAAGAGGAAAGAAGTGTAAATTCACAATGTATCTTTACAAAAACAAGCAAACAATATTTTGGAAAGAAATATTTCTATCATAAAGCACCATTAACACATACTATTAACAATATTTATTAGTTGCTAATATAATTCCCCAAAAAATCTATGAATCATGAAGACTGATGTCTTTATATAATCTTTGGAATTGCTAGAGGATTATATCTTTTGACAACTTCGTTGTGTAACAAGAAAACAATAGATATTACAAACCTAGGAGAGTATTTGCCTTTATTTTTTGTTCTGTAATAGCATGGTGTAAAGTAGTGAAGTCCTTTTATAGATATCCTAAGACAGATACTGCTACCCATGCCAGGGAAAATTCCCAAACCTGACAAAATGTAAATTAACCTAGTCTAGTTGTTTGTTGTCAAGGAGTTAGATTATTTGATACAACACATGGCAACAGAAATCAATGTCTCTTGAACAAGGCTGAATGGATCCGTTCACTTAATGGGGGTGGAAGGTGGACAGTCCCCATTGATAGCTCTACTATCTAACCAAGGAAAATTTGGAGGGAACCCAACTACTCCCCATAAAACATTCCACTGTTTACTTTTGGCATTGTAGGAGGTCAATAAATAACTTCCCTATTTTCTTGACAAATACAGAAATCACAGGGTGAGGGCCAAGATTCACACAAATGGAGATCAAAATAACAGGTCAGACTGGGAAGCATGGTTAGATCTATGGCAACAGTGGGCTTCTTAATGGTGTACTCAGAATTAAATTTATCCATCTTGCCACCGACTATGCTGAAAATTCTAGGGTTTCTCCAAAAAGGCTGTGCCTCTAACACTTATGACATAGAGAGGCAAAGAAAACCCAATGGGAATGGGCAAGAATAATCAATTCCTTTTCTCATATTCACCTATCACATATGATTTTATCTAATAGGCTGGGCACCAAAAGGGAACAGGGAAGAAGTCAGGATCACCCTAGAAAGTCCTTCCCCATGGGACACTAAGGAGTGGGAGGAAGAGTTATCCCCCAACGTCATTATTCCTTCCACCTCCCTTGCTAGTTTTCTTTCCCGAATGGGTATAGAAGAATTCCATTTTATCTCCTTTGCTTTTTTCTTACTCTTCTTATATTCCCTTCTCTCTCATTCATGTTCTACTACATTTACAATATAAATTTCATTACTAATTAACTATTCAAAGATAAATCTGTTCTGTAAGAAAAGATGCTAAGGTACTTAAGAGAGAAGGAAATCCCGATGAAATATGCCTCAACTGAAACAAAATTAGGAGAAAGCAAAATCACCTATAGTTTACTGAAAGCAAAGGGATTTCATTACATATTAATGTGAACTGAATTGTCATGGAGGGTAGAAGTGTAAGAAGAGCCACAGGGAGATTACTTGAAAACAAAAGCTGCATAAACACTGAGAGAAAGATCCTGCCCCCAACCACCTGTCTTGGGTACAACAGCCAAAAATATAAAAAAATGTGTATCAAAAATAATGAGGGTTTTTCATGTTAACCGTAATGGAATATTTCAGAAAATGTAGTGCTTCACTATTAAGGCAGAGCACCTGCAAATAGTGCAAAACTTCAGACACAGAAAAGCTGTAGCTTTGTAACATTTTATTAGCAAAAGTTGCAAATAATAAGAAATCATTTAAGTAGCCTTAAGACAACAAAGAAATCTTAAAATGTCAAAAAATGTATACTACTTTAAAATAGCATCGCATCCCTTCCATGTTTCTGATAAAAGATGAGTTTACATAGTCATTAAAATCTATGCTCCTTTATCTACTGTTTTTATGAAAAATAAATGTGATTACTAACCATGTAACATACATGCCTTTGAGGACTCAGCCATCAGACAACGAACAAACTGTGCTACTGCAGTTATGCTGCATGATAATATAAAGTTGTATACTGAAAGAAGGAGCCTTGAAGATTTTTCACCCCAAATAAAAAAATAGTGAATCATTTCTAGTGTTTTGATATGAGCATAAATATAAAATCTCACTTTAATACTGAATGCATGAAGAGCAGATGAACAAAGCTGCTCAAGAGCAGCTGGCGGATGGTCAGGCTGGAGATGCAGGAGCTAAGGGTTAAGGGCTGCTGCAGGTCAAGAACAGCCAGGGGTCTTGACCTTAGGGCCTTGAAATGGAGCTTATGCAATTTCAGTTCTGCCTAAGTGGGTGAAATGAAAGATAGAGAATGTAGGAATTTAGCATGGGAAGGAAAAAACAGGTCAAGGCAGGCAGGTTTCAGCAGATATAAAATTCCCAAGCAAATCGAAATCCCAAGTGTGGCTGACTCTAGATCTAGATTATTTTTACTTTGAATATTTTAATACATTTTGTCAGGCATAGGAGCCCATGACTTATAAGTAGCTATGGGAAATGGTTATAATCAATGGAAAAGTCAGAAATCTCAGAGAAACTCTTTACCCAAGCCCTTTTTCTTAAAACTACCAACATACGGACACAAGTGTGACCTACAGTTCCTGTTTTGTTTTGTTTTTCCAGAAAATAGAAGGAATATTCAATTTCGATGCCCACGCTCTTTACTCAAAGTGTTCCACTGCCTTTGTGGCCTCTGAATCTTCTACCTTTGTTCAATTTTCCAGTGTTTAGATCCGAAAACAGAATTAAATTTCTGCAGATTCAGTCGTTCATGTTGTGTTAGGGCTCCTGTAACAAAGTACCATACACTGAATTGCTGAAACAACAGAAATTTATTTTCTCACAATTCGGGAGACCAGAAGTCCGAGATTAAGGTCAGCAAGGTTGGTTCCTCCTGAGGGTGTGAGTGAGAATCTCTTTGAGGCCTCTTTCCTGGTTTCTGTGGTTTGCAGGCAATCTTTGTTAATCCTTGACTTGTAGAAACATTACCCCAATCTCTGTCTTCTTGTTTATGTGATGTTCTTCCTGTGTATCTGTCTGTGTCCAGACATCCCCTTTTTATAAGGATACAAATTCAACTGGATTACGGGTCCACCTCACTCCAGTATGAACTGATCTTAACGAAATACCTCTGCAATGATCCTATTTCCAAATAAGCTCACATTCTGAAGTTCTGAGAATTAGGAATTCAACATATAAATCTGGGGGAACACAATTCATCCCATAACAATACTTCTGATCACATGGTTTGCACACAAACCTTGTGCATGAATCTTATTTTAGACCCACCCACTCAAAGAGCTGATTGTAAAATAGAGTGGAGGACATTGATTAACCTGTTTTAAAACAGTAAATGTGATGATAATTTTGTTATAACCACTTAAAGTTTCATTTCATGAAAAATCGTACTTTATTTCAGTTTTATAGTACCACTATTTCCATCTTCATGCTGCCTCCTGACTCTTAACTTTTTTTTTTTTGGCTTTATAATTAGCATTCTCACAACAGTGATCTCTACAAGATTGCCTTTATATGACTTTAAAATCTCCAAATTGAAAGTCCTATTCTCAATGTCCTATTCTCAGTGTCCTCTGACTCTGAAAGGTTTCTGTTTAATGCCTTCTTTAGACTATCTCTGCTTCAGGATTCTAAGACAGTCAATCTCCTGCCTTTTTCCTTATTTCTCTGACCACATGTTTTTGATTGTTTTGTCTGTTTCTCCATATCACTTGTCCTTACATAAATATTTGTTGAATAACTGAATGGATGAATGAATGGGTTGATGTATGGATAGGTGGACGGATGAATAAATTTTGGACTTTAAACCAACAGGAAAATAGTGAAAAGTTTTAACAACAACAACAACAACAAAAAAAACCGGCTTGTCTATATTTCTAATATTTCCCCACTATCTTTTTCTCACTCCAGTTTTTCTCATACTTCTTCAAAATATTATTATTTCAAAAATTATCCTTGATCACAAACTTTATGGATATTCATTATTAAACAGGCAATAAAAACACATTACCCCAGAATAAAAAAGTCTTTCAATTCTCCTCCCTATTTTCATACTGGTACGCTAAGATCAATATCAAGTGTTTTTTTAGCCTAAGTTTTCCTATTTCTCTGATTTTGCTATTGCCTTTTTTTATTTCTCTGATTTTGCTATTGCTATTCTGCCTAGAATCTTGTTTTGCAAATAGTTTATTTACCTTTTCTTTAATAAAATTATCTTTAAATTTATTGTCAATTATTTTCCAGAAAAAAAAACAGTTTATTATCTGATATCTCTGTTTCCTAGGGGTGAAAATAAAGTCATTTATTTTACTCTGGGACTTTCTTAGATTCCAGTAATTCTTACTACTTCTCTATGATAGAAAATTAGTGGTTGTTCACTTCATACTAATAGTTATATTAAACTTTACTTATGAAATTTATAGAATTCTATAACTTAAAAAAAGCTCTATTTTTGATTTTTCCAGATCTTGGTGTTTTTAGGCAAAGGAGAACTAACATATGTCAGGCTCCATGAGCTATAAAAATTGTTTATGTGAGGATAATAAAAATGTTCAGAAGACAAACTTACACAAATTCATATTGGAGATCCAACATCTTTTAGTTTTAAGTATGTCCTTCAGAGAATAATCTGGAAAATTAAATAGAAGAAAACACATATTCTTTACAAATTTCTGTTCTTCTTTTCAAGATGATTGTTTTCATTATGTCGCTGTCACTGTTACTGGTTACACTAAAAATATTGGAAACTCTTGTAGATGAAGTGTATTGTTACTTGTCCTTAGAGAAGACTTGAAAACATCTTGAGAGAAGCACTTATAACATCAAAACTTACAGTTCTTTCATTTAAGTTGTTTTTAAAAATTATTCTAGTTTCCATTAACGTGAAGTGGGCTCTGAGTACAGGATATCAGCAACTTCATACAAGCCTTCAGAAAGCAAATAGTAATTGAGTTTTATATTAATTTTTAGTATTGTAGGATTTGCCATAATCAGAAAGTACATAGATAATTTTAAATAAACTTTTTAAAAATTTTAGAACACTTTTGAATTTCTGAAAAATTGCAGAGCTTTCATATGCCCACACCCACTTTCCCCTATAAATAACATCTTACATATGCTACGGTCATTATAATTAATGAAAGAGTTTAATACAGTATTAACTAAAGGCCGTAAGTTATTCAGATTTCCTTTGTTTTTACCTAAATCCTTTTTCTGTTCCAGAAGACTACATTATACTTTGTTGTCATATCCCCCTGGGGTTGTCTTGGCTGTGGCTTTCCCTCAGACTTACCTTGTCTTTAAGGACCTAGACAGTTTTAAGGAGTACTGAACAAGTATTTTGTATAATATCCTTCCATTGTGTCTCTCAATCTGCTATTTCTCTTATAATTAGACTGGGATATGGGTTTCAGAAAGGAAGATAATAGAGGTAAAGTGTTGTTTTCATTACATCATATCAGGAGTACATACTACCAACATGACTTACCACTGTTGATGTTGACCTTGCTGAAGTCAACTAACTGAGACAGTGTTTTCCAGGTTTCTCCACTATAAAGTTACTTCCGCACCAATGCTGCCCCATGCTCTTTGGAAGAAAGATGCCATGCACAGGCTGCGCTTAAAAAGCAGGAGTTATTCTCCATCTTTTTGAGGACAGAGTATCTATCTACACAGTAATTTGGAAACTTTTTGCATGCGAGATTTAACTTTCCTTCTCTGTTTATTTATTTTTATAAGTACAAACTCGATATTTAGTTTGTAGTTCAAACTATAATCTAATGATACCTTATTCATTATGTTACATTACAGCTCAAGATGTTCCAGCTTAGGCTGCTGAGGACTTACATTGGCTCCTGAGTCCCTTTGACATACCCTCCTCTATATGGGATATTATTCTGTTTTTGTTTTTGTTTTTGTTTTTCTGTTTTTATTATCACTTCCTTACTCTCTGGCATGCTCCAGAATAATCTTGAATATTTCCAGCCCTAGTTATAGAATGAGCCATTTTTCCAAGAAGCTGGGTTTCTTTCACTGGGGAATGATATTGGAAACAAAGGTTTGGCACTAGGTATGCTCACTGCTATTGGAGTGTTGTTGCTTCTAGGCCCTCTCAGCTAACAAAAAACGGGATGGTATGTGGGCACAATAACCCATTAATACACACACGCACACACATAAATTCCTATATGTAAATTTCCTTATCTTTTGTATCAAAATTAAACCAAACATGGGTTCATACTGACATCTTCCACTCCAGTCTAGTATCATATGGATCATTTAACCTCTTCGTAATGCTTTTGTGTAACCTTCCAACCCAACAGTGTAAAATTGAGCTCCCACCATCTTCCAACCATTTACTTAGTTGTTTAATTCAAGTATACATATATA
The DNA here is from genome assembly GCF_000001405.40 of Homo sapiens. Classification (NCBI taxonomy): domain Eukaryota; kingdom Metazoa; phylum Chordata; class Mammalia; order Primates; family Hominidae; genus Homo; species Homo sapiens. The sequence continues at coordinate 105,498,006 of NC_000011.10, forward strand.
GCAATCTCAGAATTTTTAACCTGCACCCCTATAGAAAATAGGTTTATCAACTAGAGTATAATGTTTATGTATAATTTCTCTGCCTTTAGTCTTAAAAAGTTCTGATATTTCCAAAGTTATTGAGGTCAGCAATTTTTCATCCCAACATACTACAAATGTTGTTTCATACATTTGTAGTATAGTTAGATTCTTTTGTAGACTCTGTATTCCATCCTGGCATCCCTAACCTTCAAATGAATTTTATAAATTTATATATGTTTAGGATTACTCTTTTTTTTATAAAGTTCTGTGGGTATATGTTTTGGCTGTGCCCCCACCAAAATTGGATCTTGAACTGTAGTTCCCATAAACCCCATGTGTGGTGGGAGGGACTGTGGGGGAGGTAACTGAATCCTAGGGGCAGTTTCCCCCATGCTATTCTTGTGATAGTAAGTTCTCAAGACCTGATGGTTTTATAAGGGGCTTTCCCTTTTGCTCGGCTCTCATTCTTTTCCTTCCTGCTGCCATATGAAGGACATATTTGCTTCCCCTTCTGCCATGATTGTAAGTTTTTGGGGGCCTCCCTAACCATGTGGAGATGTGAGTCAATTAAACCTCTTTCCTTTATAACTACCCAGTGTTGGGCAGTTCTTTATAGCAGCATAACAATGAACTAATAGAGTAACTTGTCTTGGTACTAAAATCTGTATTAGGGTCCTTAGAGGGACAGAACTAATAGGGTGTATGTATATATGAAAGGATGTTTAATGAGAATGGAGCCACATGATCACAAGATAAAGTCCCATGATAGGCAATCTTCGAGTTGAGGAACAAAGAAACTAGTGGTGGATCAGTCCGAGTTCCAAAACCTCAAAAGTAGGGAAGCCGACAGTGCAGCTTCAGTCAGGGGCCAAAGTCCCAAGAGCCCCTGGCAAACCACTGGTGTAAGTCTAAGCGTCCAAAAGCTGAAGAACTTGGGAGCCCAATGTTCAAGGGAAGGAAGCATCCAGCACAGGAGAAAGATGAAGGCTGGAAGACTCAGCAAGTCTGCTCTTCCATCTTCTCCTGACTGCTTTATTCTAGCGGCACTGACAGCTGATTAGATGGTGCTCACCCAGATTGAGGGTCTGTTTCTCTCTCCCATTCCAGTGACTCAAATGTTAATCTCCTTTGGCAACACCCTCACAGACACACCCAGGAACAATACTGTGCATCCTTCAATCCAATCAAGTGGACACTCAATATTAATCCTCACAGTGGGTTTTTCAAATGCATAATGTCACATCTGTCATTATAGTACGATACAGAAGTTTGATCACTGTAAAAAAAAATTCTCTTGTATTTTAACTATTTAATTCTCTCAATTAGTTCCCAAGTTCCTGGCAGCCACAGATCTTTCCACTATCTCTATAGTTTTGCCTTTTTAAGAAGGTGATAAAATAGGAATCACACATTATATAGTCTTTAGACTGGCTTTTTTCACTTACCAATATGCCTTTAAGTTTTCCTTCATGACTTTCATGTTTTGATATCAGTAAATCAAGTTTGCTGAAGTTTTTATCATGCATGAGTGTTGTATTTTGTGAAATGCTTTTTCAATCCATACATATTTTGAGCAATAATTTTAAGTTTTCTGTTTTTGCACCATAAAGTTTATATTATTTCAAAATTAACTTATATTGGTTTTGATGATATTTCACATTTATTGACCTCTTATTATGTGCTAAAATGTTCTATCCAGTTTATATTACATTTAATAGCCTAATATTTTATGGGTATTCCACTGTACAGTTTGTCCCTTCACCTATGGAGGACAAATTGGTTGCTTCCAGCTATTGGCAATTATGAATAAAACTGCTATAAATATTCATGTGCAGGTTTTTGTGTGAACATACATATTTTCAAATTAGTTGGGCAAATACCAAGGAACATGATTGCTGGGGTCTATGATAAGACTATACTTAGCTTTGTAAGAAACTGGAAATCTGTTTTCAAAGTGACTGTACCATTTTGCATTCCCACCAGCAATGAATGAGAATTCCTGTTGCTCCATATCCTTGCCACCAACTTGTATTGTTCATTTTTGGGGTTTTATCTACATTAATGGGCATATAGTGGTATGTCATTGTTGTTTTAACTTGCAATTACCCAATAACAAATTAATACTGAGTATATTTATGTAAGGTTTTGTTTTTGACACTGCTCTGTCTTCTTTGGTGAGATGTCTGTTCAAATATTTTCCCCATTTTTTACTTGTGTTCTTTGTTTTCTTATGGATGAGTTTTAAACAATTTTTTCTATCTTTTCAATATAAAATCTATATCAGATATGTGCTTTGCAAATATTTTCTCCCAGTGTGTAGCTTATATTTTTATTCTTTTAACAGTTTTCCTCACAGAAGTTTTTCATTTCAATAAAGTCCACCTTATCAGTTTTTCTCATGGATTGTGCTTTTGGCTTTGTACAAACTTGTCACCAAACACAAGGCCAAATGGGTTTTCCACTATGTTTTCTTCTAGAAGTTTTATTGTTTAACATCTTATATTTAGGTCTATCGTTAGGTTCATGTTCCATTTTTAGTTAAGTTTTGTGAGATGTGTAAGGTCTGAGTGTAAGTTCATTTTTTTAATATGGACAAATAATTGTTTCATTAATTGTTTATACTACATTTAATATTTCCAACATATCTGTATTTCCCCTTTTATTGATACAATACCAACAAAATATAAAGACTGTCCTTTATCCATTGAATTGTAGTTTCTTCTTTGGCAAGAATCAGTTACCTATTTTGTATGTATCTATTTTGGGGCTCTTCATTCTGTTCCACTATCATACTGTCTTTATTATTGTAACTTGACAGTGATTCTTGAAAACAGATAAGCGACACATTCTACTTTGTTTATCTTCAGTATTTTATTGGCTATTCTAGGACTTTGCCTTCCTATATAAATTTAGAATCAGTATTTTGATACCTATAAAATGGTTTGCTGGGGTTTTCATAAAAGTTGCACTGAAACTATAGATCAAGTTAAGACGAATTGCGATTTTAATGATAGGGATTCTTCCAATCCATGAACACAGAATCTCTCTCCATTTATTTCAATCTTCTTTAATTTCTTTCATCAGAGTTCTATACTTTTTTGTAAATAATCTGTTCATATTTTGCTCAATTTATACATTAGTATATCATCTTTGGTGCTATTTAATTTTTTTAATTTCAAATTTCAATTGTTTGGTGCTGATATATAGGAAATCAGTTGACTTTGATGTGTTGTTAACTTTGTGGCCTGCTACTTTGCTATAGTCACCAGTTTCTAGATTTTTTCTGTCAATTCTTTGGGATTTTTTTTTTTTTACATAGACATAGACATTTACATAGACATTTACATAGACAGTCATATCATCTACAACTAAAGAGCTGTATTTCTTCCTTACAATGTGTATACTTTAAATTGTGTACTTCTTATTTTCCTTTTTGTATTATTGACTATCTAGGACTTTTAATATGATGTTAAACATAATGGCATGAGAGGGGACATCCTTGTCTTATTGATAATTTTATTGAGAAAGTGTCCATTATCTCATCATAAAGTATGATGCTATTTGTAGGATTTTGTCAATGTTCTTTACCAAATTGCAGAAGTTTCCATCTGTTTCAAGTTTGCTAAAGTTTTTATTATGCGTTGAGTGTTGGATTTTGTGAAATGCTTTTTAAATCCATATATATAGAGAGAGAGCAATAATTTTAAGTCATATTTTTCTACTATAAGCTTATGTCATTTCAAAATCAAATTAGATTGGCTTTGATGATATTTCACATCTGTTGACCTCTTATGTGCCAAACTGTTCAATGTAGTTTATACTACATTTAATATTTCCAACATATCTGTATTTCCCATTTTATTGATAAAATATGAGACCCACAGAAGTTAAATAAATTCTTTTTCCCCTTTTACATTTTCTACATCTATATTCATTTCATGTTCTAGTTCATCATACCCCATGGCTTAATATGGCTAATGACTCCCAAATTTGTATTTGTAACTTCAGTCTGTTCTCTCAGATTCAGTCTCATATGTAACGTCAATAATCATACTCAACATTTCTACTTGACAGCCCCCAAAGTACCTTGAACTGAACAAGTGCAAAAGGGAACTTCAGACGCCCTTCTTTGTTATTCATCCAGTTTCGCTCTTTTCCCAGTCTTTTTAAAAGGTGGTACTATTGTTCAGAAATTTGCACAGAATCAAAGGACTTTCCTTAATTTTTATCCTTTGCTTGTGTTCTACACCCAATCCATCTGAAAGTATGTCCACCTCTGCCTTCAGAATATGTCCCAAGTGTGATCATTTCTCATTATCTCAATAGCTTTTTTTAGAACAAGCTGTAATCACCTCTTGCCTTGACTACTGTGAAAGAATATTACCTTTTTTCTCAGATTTCAAATTTGCTTACTAAAGTCTATTCTCTGCACACCAAATAGAGTGACCTACCTCAAGTATGAATCAGAACACATCATTTAAAACAACCCATTGGTTTCACATCAACTTAGCAATCAACATTGTGGCATGACCTACTGTCGCCTGCATACTTCTTCAGTTCTTCTACACACATGACAGACTATTCTGATTTTGAGTATTTACATGTACTGGCTTCTTTGTGTGGACTGCTCTTCTCCAAAATTTTTGGTATGGCTTGTCCTTGTACTTCGTATAGGTGTGTGCTAAAATGTCATTCTTCAGGAAGGTTTCCCATGATTATATTATACGCAAACACTGGTACTGACTTTGATTGCATTTTTCAATTTTTCGTAGTGCTTTCACTACCTGAAGTATCACATATGTTAATACTTTGATGCTATATGTTGTGCATTTCAGGGCTTATAATAATAAACCCTGAGAAGGCAGGAGCATTGTCTGTCTTGTACAATATGTATCTCTAGTACCCTATAGCAGGTGTTTAGCAAATATTTGTTGAATAAAAAAATTGCTGCCTATAAATGGTAGAACTTGGATATAAAATCAGATCATCCTGACCCTTCAACAAGTACTAATGTATTTCATCTATGGAAAGAAGTTTGCTGAAATTCTATCAGTTTCAAGTAGTTCTAATTATAAACAAAATCACCTATAAACAAGTTAGAACTGCATTATATTCCTCCCCACCTAGCATCCTTGCATCCAATTTCTTAGAAAGCACATTTTCTCCCTATATCAAGCATCTTTTTCTCTCCCAGTTTTACTTTTGCATTGATAACCTTAAGACTCTCCAAAAGCTGTCTTTTCCTCACTGTTCTTCTACTTATTCTAATTATCATTAAGCATGCCTTAATTTTACCAATATTCTAAAAAGAAAGGCTCCCTAGTGCCTTAGTCCCTTCTGTGCTACTATGAAAGAATAGCTGAGACTGGGTAACTTATAAAGAATAACAATGTATTAGCTGACAGTTCTGGAAACTGGGAAGTACAACATCAAGGGTCCAGTGTCTGGTTAGGGCCTTTTTGCTACATCACCTCATGACAGAAGGTGAAAGAGCAGGAGAGAGCAAGAGGGGACTGGCCTTGACCTTTTATAATGGCATCAATCACACCTGTGAGCTCTCACCCACAGCAGCTCTCATACGTTGAAGTCTTGTGCTTGCAGCACAAGATTCTGGGGTCTCTGGGGCAGCCTCACTCCATTGGATTCAGATGATGGATTAATATTTAGTCAGGGAAGTGACAACTGTGTTTAAGGGATGAAAATAGTAGATCAGTTAATCTTGAATAATGTGGATATATACGAAATATTTATTTTATTTAGGCTGCTCACCATTTATTGTTGTGTTTTGTTAAGAGTATTGATGTTTTCTTGGTATTAAATTGTTTAATAGTAGATATTATTTGCAAAATTTGTATAATTGTAAATCAAATTGCCCTGCACTTTCCTCATCAAACTGTGGGTTCCACTGTTATTCATAACTAGTTAGTGACTCTAACTAAACCAAGTGGACTGTAGCTTGTACCTAAGATAGGCTTTTAACACTTACAAGAAGTTATTTAAGGAAAGTAGCAATAAGTACATGTTTATTCCAGCAACAAAGCCTTGGCAAATAGTTCTTGTTAGATAGATTGGAACCATAACAAGAATCCTGAATGCATATTAGTGTCTAGCTGTTATAATTCAGTAGCTAGAAAGAAATATTGTTTTATTATTTTATGAATCAATCATTATATTTAGAAGATTGAAAAGCAGTGAATCATACAGATAAAAGATTAAATAAGCAAACATGGGCAACTGAAGTAACAAAAAGTGGGCCCGATAGACCTGGAAATATTACCTAACAGAATTTGATGAACTGATTCAACGTTTCAGAAGTGGGGAGATATCATAGATAACACTGAATTAATGTGTTTATTTTTTTCACATTCAATTTTTTCTTTCCTCTCTCTACATAGCATTGTTAATCACATATCTTAAACATTCGATCATAAATTATTCAAAGACTAACAATAGAAGAGAGAATAGTATAATGAGTTATTTGAATATCTCAAACCTGACAAAAATAAATGAATCTTGATCTCTACCTCACACTACACTCAAAAACCAAATCCACATGAATAGTATATCTAAAAATGTTTCCAGAAGATGACGTAAGAAAACATCTTCTTGACTTATAATGTAAAAATGTCTTAAATGAATATAAAAGCCACTAACAGAATAACAGTTAAATAAAAGACTTCATTTAAATTCAGAATTTCTGTTCATTAAAAAATGTCATTAAAAGAGTACAAAGGCAAGCAATGAAGCAGACAATAATATTTGCAGAATAAATTTATAAAGTTATGGAGGTTGTAACTAAAGGTAATTGTACACATAGCCTGTGACTCAATAATTCTAATTTAAAGCTGCAGCTAAAATAAATATATATATACATATATATGTTTGACATGCACAAGAATATTTATATAAGCACTATTTGTAATAGTTAAAAATTGGAAACAACCAAAATGTTATTTAATGTATTCAATGTAGAATAGACTAATTATATTTTGCTATACTCATACAATGAAGTAGCATACAACAAAGAAAACTGAAAAATTACTGCTCTTTACAAAATCATAGATACATATTTAAAAAACTAAGAAACAAAACACAAAAGAGTACATACCAAATTACTTCACTTATCTATAGAACAAAAACAAGTGAAAAATACACTGTAGTGAAAGAAGTCAGAACACTGGTCACATAAGGCGGCAAAATGACTGGGAGGGATGGTGGATGTTTCTGAATGATTTGCAATATGATTTCTTTTGGTCAGTTCGTGGTTATCTGAGTATGCTCAGTTATTATTTTACACTTTTCTGCCTGATACATGGTTCAATAAAATAAATATTTACTTACAGAGAAGATGGCAGTGGTTCCATAGTTGAGTGTGGGTTTTTAATTTCTGTGAATCCTCACATACAGATAGAGAAAATAGAAAACAAAAGCAGAATCCCTCAAAGTTTAAAACAAAACCAGGTGAGAAGGCATCTCATACTATGAATGTCAAAATATAAATGGGAGGTGACAAATAACCAACTTACTGATATAAGACCTGTGTGATGTCAACTCTTTCTAGAAGAAAGTAGAAGAAAGCGACAGAGTGTCTTTCTGTTCATTTACCAATTTTCATAATAATAGTTGATATATTATGGATATGTTTTTGCTCATCTTTCTGAAACTTTCATCTATAAAATGTCTCCATAATTCACAATTTAGCAAAAATGTTTAAAATCTGAGAAAGAAACAATGACATAATTTACTGCAAATGTAATTCTCCTTGCTCTTGTTATTCAGGGGTTGATGTCTAGACAACGAATGTCTTAGTTCTATTAGATGCATTCTTAGAAAAAATGCTCATAGTAGGACTGATTGGATGCCTTTGCTTTCAGATATTAATTAGCATTTGTTGAGGGGAAACCAAAACACAGGGAATTTGCATGGGCATTCTCAAGGCCCTTCCTCAAGGCACTTCCAAATTCTACTCACGCCTTGTTCCAAAGCCAATGCCATACTTTTGAAGTTTTGCCGTGGCAGTACCTGACTCATAGATACCAATGATTTTCTATTTCATTTTGCTATTGTTGCATGAAAAAAAACTCAAAATTATCTTAGAGAAGTAATTTTTTTCTGTGTCCCTTGATTGAAATTCATACAAGACAGCAAGGTTAGCTTTTCTCTGCTCTAAAATATCTGGGAGCTAAGCTGGAAGACTCAGTGACTGGAAGCAACTCAACGATTGAAAACCTGGGTTATGTGAAGGTGAGGTGGATCATAGAAAGGCATCTGCATTGTGATTTTATGACCTAGCCTAGGAATTACTAAGCGTGACTCCTGGTGCATTCCATTAGTTACAAGAGAATCACTAACATCAGCCCAGATTCAGGAGAGGAGACATTGATCTCCATGTCTCAATTGGGAGGAGTAATAAATAATTTGTACACATTTATAAAACCTCCACAATAATTTTAATAGGTTTTTTTGGAGTGAAAATACAAATACCTTCACTCCATCATATTAACTAGAGCTCTTACTGGTTTTCTCTCTTCTCTTAAAATAGTTCATTTTCAATTACAAAAATAATAAATACTCAGATTTGAGAACATATAGAAAAATACGGAAAAGAAAATCACTGATTCTTATAACCTTGGGTGCATAAAAGTAGGTGTAAATTGTTTTCTTTTAAAAAAAAAAAATCATAAAACAGTTGTCTTTCAGTATCCAAGGGGGTGGAGGCAGGTTTTGGTTGCAGAATCCCCTGCAGATACCAAAATCCGTGGATACTTAGATCCCTTCTATAAAATGGTATTGTATTTGTATATAAACCACACACATTCTCCCGTATAAGTTAAATCATCTTCAGGTTACTTATAATACCTAACACAATGTGATATGTAAATAGTTGTTATACTGTACTGTTTAGGGGAAAATGATGGGGGAAAAAATAGTCTGCATATGTTCAGTACGAACAACCATCCATTTATTTTTTCCCAAATATTTTCAATTCACTGTTGGTTGAATCCATGGATGTGGAATCCATTGTTGTGCAACCCACAAATACAAGGGGCCAACTGTACTTTATAGCTATAATTATCCTTTAGAAATTTCATTTTGCTTTTGCCATTTAATATTACTCTACTAGCTTTGTAAATACCACAACAAAGTTTCCAGGTGCAACATTGAGGTGGTGCTTAAAGGACCTTCTATTTATTGAATAATCCAGAAATTTAGGTTATTTGCATTTCTGATGCATAAATAATGCTGTTTTCCCAAATGTATTTTACTAACTCAAAGTTTCGGTTCAATTTTTTTTTCTGTTATGTAAAATTGTGTTTTACGTAGTTACTTTATTGATATGTTGCTGATCACTTTGACTAATTTTAAACTAGAAAACCTTCCTGTATCAAAGGGTTTAATAAATATTAATTTATATTTTCTTTATTTTTCAATTGTTTTTTTCTGTATTGAACTTTTTTTTTTTTTTTTTTTTTTGCTGTGGAGTCTCGCTTTGTTGCCCTGGATGGAGTGCAGTGCCACAATCTTGGCTCACTGAAACTTCCACCTCCAGGATTCAAGCAATTCTCCTGCCTCAGCCTCCTGTGTAGCTGGGATTACAGGCATGCACCACCACGCCTGGCTATTTTTTTGTATTTTTGTGGAGACGGGATTTCACCATGTTGGTCAAACTGGTCTGGAACTCCTGACCTCAGGTGATCTTCTCAACTTGGCCTCCCAAAGTACTGGGATTATAGGTGTAAGCCACTGCACCCAGTCATGAACTTTTAATCCAACCAAAATTTTAGTAAAGTCTGAGGTAAGACACTCAATATTCATTGATTTTTGAATTTACCTAGAAATATACATTATTCTGAATATCCCCAACATAAAATACCACATTTAAATATTTGACGTTTTTATTTTTTCTGAGAAAGAAAAATAATAACTATTTCTTCAGTCAGGAGGACTTTGGTTTATTGCCAGAAAGTATTTCTGTCATTTATCTTATCTTTTATTTTAAAAAGGAAGCCATAAATCATCTTGGCAGTCAATCATTAGTCTGACATCAAAAAGGAATCCGAAGAGGGTTGTCTATTGTTGTTTCAGTTAACAGAGTGCTGCTTAATAAGTTTTGATCCCAAAGTAATGAGATTGCATGAACAATTATAAATGTAGGTACTGGGATGCCTAAAAGGAAACCATTACTTTATTTCCAAGCTACTAGAAATTATTCAAACTCCTATATCTATCAAGGAATATAGTAACCTTAATTATTTTCTTGCAAGGAGGTGAGAAGGGAGCAGAAGTGTACCTCTTAGGGCTTGGACTGGGTTAAAAAAAAAGTATGAAAAATCTAAAAATAAAGTGAGCACCCAAATACCTTGTTCCACGTACATCTGGGCTCTGCAAACGGATTTGTATCATTTCAGGATATCTCTTCCCCTTAAGAATTTTATCAGCTAGGTTAGTTTAAAAGAGATGGCTTTTCATGAAGATGAGAAGTATATGTTTAACCCAAAAGTATATGTTTCAATAAACCTTTGTTTTTGTTTTTACATTTTCTTTATATCTAAATCATGGGATATGGTATTTGAAGAATTGGTTCTATAGGGATGCTAGGGGAAGTCTTGCCAGTTTGTGCTTGGGGAAAGATGGTATGTTTTAGAAACAAATAATTATGCATATATTAAAACTTTTTTGATGGAATGTTCTTTAGTAAGTCTAACTAAAGCATGAATAACTGCAAGATTATGTTTCAGTGTTGGCCATTGTTATCTGAAAGGATAAGCAATTACTTCTTTTTCTAAAGCACCCAGGCTGACATAGCTGAGATATTATTTGAGATATATAATAAAGAGCCACAGTTCTGACCCTATAAGCTCCAGAAAAATGTATTTCAAAAGGGTAGTTCTTCCTCTTGAGAGGGAACATTTTATTTTTCTATTAATTAAGGAAAAGTGATTTTGAGATGATTTTTTAAAATCTATGATAGATACTAAAACAAGAAACTAAGGCTAAATGTGCAAATCTATCTGATATTCTAAACCTGTAAAAATAACAGCCCCAGAGTACTGTTAATTTTAAGGCATAGTATACGTTTGTAAGGGGGTCTATAGTTAGAGTCATGTAAGTAAAGTCAAGTCCTGGGTGTGAAATTCATTTCATTCTATGAGATCATTGTTGGAAATCCTGTATCAGAAAAAATTACACTAAATTGCATTCATACATATGCCCACAAAATTGATTGCATTCCATCAGACCCACCCCTAATATTTGCAGAGATTGTGACAATACAAATAAAGCCCTCAAACCATATGTCAAAATACGTAAAATTTATAAATCAATTCTTCAAATTGCTGAAACGTCTGAAAAACTCATTAAACAAACTATGTTCTAACCTCCTCCCCTGATAAGCATAACTGTTTAATGATCTGCCACATGTTGGGACAGGGAGAATCAGCCACACCAGCCCCTGGGCCCTGGATCTGCATATCCCCACCCTTCTTTTCCTACCCTGGCTCTATCCTTCATCACAAGGGACTTCGAATCCACATGTGTAGATATTCTAAAACACATCAGTTTCATCAGTTTTCCTTAAGGGCCACCGTTTGGCCCCTCTGTAAGCTTGTTGAGTACAGTGGTCATGCAGTCTACCTTCAGGAGGACAATCCAGGAAATGTCTTAAACATGTTCTAGAAGCTTCCTTGTTACAATTAGTTGTCCTTAAATTGTTTTAAAAATATATTTGAATAATTTCCCCATAGATATACACACCACAATGATTACCGGCAGTTATCTTCCTAAGCATTGCATTGAGGATTGCAATTTTTATTTATAAGCCTTTCTTATGTGTTAATTAATAATTGGACCATTTATTTGAGGGTTAAGAGAGCAAAGAAGTGACAACTTGGAAGTTTTAGTTTTATCGAAACACAATTATATTCAGTTTTATTTATTTTACATAAACCAAATTTATTTTACAACAAAACCAAATTGTTTTGTTATGAAACAATTTATTATTAAATGTAAACAACTCACTCTTTTCTTCATGCATTGAAATTACCTGAAGTTTAGAGTGCTTTTCCCCTGTCCATAACTAGGATAGCATTTCAGTACTTTAATTTGACAGCTCAGAGAATTGTGTTGGGTCATTACCAGGGAGCTATTTTCTTTGTCATTACTGTGCTCGACTGATACATATTAGCTTTCAGGACTGATTAATCCTTTCTGTCTTTCCCTCACTTCAGAGCCAGGGCTAATGTTCTGCCCAAATTCTAAGTCCCAGAACAGAAAGCATGTTTGACCCAGCTTGAGCAAAATACACAATCCTATTAAATCAGATGGGGTCAGGGTTGCAGGTTTACAAAGAAGTATAGATAAAGAGGTGGATGGACGAATGGATGGATGGATGGACAGAAGGATGGGAAGGATGGACAGATGGATAGACCCAGGGAAGAATAGATAGATGGAAGAATGAGTCTGTAAGGGTCTCTTTCTTGTTGGCGATAGTATTTCTTAGGAAAAAGAGTACTTGTGTCACTAGAGTAGATAGGCGATGATGTTGAAGCAAGTAATTACCTATGATTCTGTTCCCTAGTATTCTCTTTCAGGACTGATTTTCTACTTTGTACTGACTGTGAACTGTGTGCAATAAATCTTTAAAACTTTTGCATTTTTAGTTAATTCTGTTTAAATAAATATTTGCTGATCATTTGTTACATGCTTAGCACTATGTAACTAAAATATTTAACAAAAAACATTAAATTTAAACATTTTAATTTTACTGAAAGAATTATCTATAACCAAATATAGATCCTGTAGAAGATATTATACAACCATAAAAATTCTTACAATATTTTATTGAGCAAAAAAAAAACAAGAAAAACATTTCATCAAAACAAAGTAAAATAATAAAAACGGCCTGGTCATAGGATAATTGTTAAATATAAATTAACTCCATCCTTCAGAGAACTATTTGCCATAGGTGCTATCATTATTATTACTGTTCTCCCCTTCTTACGGATGAGGAAGCTGAGACAAAGTGCTTATTAAAAAACTAGTCTCCAAACAGAAAATTAAGGAGAGATTTTAACCCAGGCAATTTTTCATCATAGCTCATCTCAAGAACAATTTACAAAATTCATTCTAGTATATATAAAATAAAATTTAAAATGCAGCACCAAAAGGTTGAGACAATTACTTAGACAAAAAATGAAAAAGAATTCAAAGTATTTCTTACTCTAAAGGCAAAAAGGAATCTCAGATGAATTAAAAAGTTAAATACATGAAAATCAATTCATAAATGTATATGTATTTACATATGTATTTATATATTTATATATATAGTTCATCAATTTATATATATTTACTAGTCTATATTTCTCATATATAAAAATATATGAAAATAAGACCAAAAATATACATATATGTAAACATGAAAATAAAACCATAAACAGATGTAATGAATGATGAATGTAACAGATGTAATTTTTTATATATATATATATATAAAATGATCAAATTAGTGAAGAAGGTAAAGTCTAAGTTTCCAAGCAATGGAAAATATTTTTAAAAAATAACTAGATTAACATATTTCACTGTTTTAAACAACTAAAATTATTTGCTATTTATTATACAAATTATGCTAAAACGAGTAAAGACAATTAAGAATATATTTGCAGTAACTGGAGAAAATCAAAAAGTATTACCACATAAAGAATTTTTAAGGGTTCAATTCATTGGCTCAAAGGATTAATATTTTATAAAAGAAGGAAGAGAGAGAGTGTACAAGCTACTAAGAGAAATGCAAAGATTCCAATATGTAAATGAACAACAGGAATACCTTCATAAATAAATTTGAAAATGTAGAAAGTATGTGTTCTCTTTGGTAATATCAGCATTATAAATTTGAAATATTAATATCTTATTTTGAACATTTTCATTAGCAAATACTTTTGGGGAGACACTAAAATGGTACTAACAGCAAAACAAAAATGCTACTCTCATACATTGATGATAGGAGTAAAAATTTAATATCACATATTATTAGTTGTCTTAATATCTATAGACTATGATATAGAATTTTTCATTTGTGAGAACAGTCTCTGATTATGAAAAACTGAAAATAATTTAGATTTTCAATCTTTAGTGGAATGTTAGGAATCTACATTCAGAGGAATATTAGACATTTCATTCTCTCTATATATAATGTACAGAATGTCTTTATGAAATGTAGAGAATGTATTATAATATCAAGTGAAAAATACAGGACATGATATATGTTTAGAAAAAAATTTTTTTTATAATATGTCAATCATTATTGATCTATATAGATGTAGATGTAAATATGTGTCGTGTGTGTGTTAGTGTGTGTGTGTGTGTGTGTGTGCAGAGAGAAAGACTAAAATGAAATTTACCGAAACACCCAATAATTTGGGTGAGTTACCATTTCTTTTTATTTTCCAAAATATCTTTATGAAGCATGAATTACTTTTAAAGTAGTTTAAAAGTGAATCATGAATTATTTTTTAAAGGAAGAAAAAAGTTCATAACACAACAGCAAAAGCATATGAATAAAGTAATATTAATTATCAAAAATTCATCTTAATAAAAAATAAGAATTAAAAATATATGCCTTTATTTTCTATAACACTTTGCTACTCATATGAAATATTTCATGGAGACCAATAGAACTATGGGTATTGGGAAAAGCCCAGCATAAACATCATTTAGAAATGTGTGGCACGATCTCAGCTCACTTCAACCTCCACCTCCTGGGTTCAAGCAATTCTCCTGCCTCCGCCTCCTGAGTAGCTGGGATTAGATGCAAATATGACCATGCTCGACTAATTTTTTCTGTATTTTTGTGGAGATGGGGTTTCACCATGTTGGCCAGGCTGGTCTCGAACTGCTGACCTCAGGTGATCTGCCTGCCTCAGCCTCTCAAAGTGCTGGGATTACAGGCGTGAGCCACTGAGCCTGGCCTCCAGGAAGTTTTAAAATAATATTTTTCTGTCTTTCAAAGACTTTAGTGAACCTCCTTTTCCTTGTCTTTGCCCATTTCTAATCAAAATTATCTTCTTATTCTCATTAATTTTATGAAATTATTTTATTGACAAATAGCCTCATCCATCACCTCCATAACCATGAATTTCAGTGTCATAAGCTATAGCCAAGACTAACATACCTTTCTGATTGAATTCATGAAAGTCTGCTTTGCCACACTAATACCGTGAAAGCTGAACTTTTCTCTTCTTTTTTTATTATGTTATGTGGTCCTTTTTATTTCTTAGGTATAAATATGTTAAATAGTTTAAAGTCTAAGAAAACACACATGATTGAAGTTATTTTATACCATGTAAACTACTATAAATACATCTTAATGATATTTTTAATTTCTTTACTGGCATTGTAATTGGCAATGCATTAGGTGCTAAAACACAAATTTTTTAAAAAAGTTTCCATTCTCATGTTGATATCACTGACATTTTTTTTTTTTTTAGGATGGAGTCTCACTCTGTTGCCCAGGCTGGAGTCCAATGGCCCGATCTCGGCTCACTGCAACATCTGCCTCCCAGCTTCTAGTGATTCTCCCACCTCAGCTTCCAGAGAAGCTGGGATTATGGGTGCCACACCTGGCTAATTTTTACATTTTTGGTAGAGACTAATTTTTTTTATTTTAGTAGAGACTGGGTTTCACCATGTTGGACAGGCTGGTCTTGAACTCCTGACCCATGATCCGCCCACCTTGGCCCTCCCAAAGTGCTGGGATTACAGGTGTGAGCCACCATGCCCAGCCAATAATTCTTAAGTTTTAAATATATTGTCCCAAATAAAAAACTAATACTCTAGAATTTGCCACAATTTTTCAGCAAAAACTATATTGATTTGACTCTACTTCCATTGGCTTTAAAATATGATGAATAAAACTAATCTTAGTCATACTATATGTTAAGAGCAAAATTACACACTATTTTTATTTAATGTAGAGGTCTGAGCTCCTTCTAAACATCAGTATTAACTGAGATATAAAACATAGAAGGAAAAAAGGAAGAGAGAAGAGTGTTGAGAATATCGTTTTCCATTTGAACTCATCAAGCTTGAAGTTCATGTTGGCTAAGTAAAAATGAGAAGTACAGTGAAATGAGTCTGGAGCTCAGAAACTGATTTAGACTGGATATATAAGCTGAAAGATAATGGTTAGACCCAGGATAAGGATGACAGTGCGTAACATTTCCAAAGACCTGAAGATGAATCTTTGAAGAATGCCACATCATAGAAGGATGACAGAGAACTGTCAGTAAAGAAAAAGATGGAGTGATCTTTCAGGTGGATGGGGCACCAAAGGTTGGATGTCACATCGGCCAAAGAAAGTGAGAATTCACGGGAGAATGTCTCATAGTGTGTCAAGTATCAGAGGAGTCAAAGTAATATAGGAATTGGAAATTTTCCATTGCGTTTAATATTAGGACATCATCAACAACATTCTAATAATTTAAATCAATGACAGAGGAAAAAAAAAAGACTACAATGGATTGAGGAAGGAATGGAGGAAATTGTAAAAAAATTGAGCCGACAAAGACCCAGATACATCACTGAAGAATAATATGGTGCTACGTAGAAAGAAACACTGATTGGAAGGAGGGTTTTCCCCTCCCTTATCAGTAGTATTAATAGAAACTAGAAATAGGGCCCTTTCTATGTTCCCTGATAAAGAAGCCACTAGAATAAAGAGAAAGTGGATAATTGATGGTACAAGGCTCCAGAGCCTCCTGCACTAGAGCATATATGTTTAGTAAAAGTTACTACTTTCCTAGAGGCTGGCATCAGATAAATACCTAAGATTATACTGTAATACCAACTAAGCACACAATTTTACACATGCTTGTTCCCTGCTTATTCAAAAAGAAACATTATTACACATAAGAACACATCTAAAGTTTTGACAACAAAAAAATTTTTGCTGTTAGAATATGTAGAACAAACTTTGTCTGTTAGAATATATTGCAAAATATTTAATGGACAGAAATAATTTACAAGTAAGCATTACTTTAGTAAAATAAGCCTAAGCCATACTAGAAAATGTTCATAATAAAATCTCTCCCTCGTATCTGAAATTCTTCACCAGACTGCTGCAAGCTATGTTATTTCTTCCATCTTTTATTTTAAATGTAGTGAGTTTAATTATCATATCTTTCTAGTATTCCCTTGCTTCTTAGCCTTCTGTAACTGATTGCTAATGTCTACAATAATGCCCCACTGGCTAAAGTAGCTCCCTTTTATTTCTCATGCTGATACCTATGCTTAAATCTTTAGTGTTAAGAAAAAAAATACAATAAACACATTTAATTCACTCAACAACTCAATGAGGGAGTGTGGTATATTGAATTATTGCTTCCATTAATTTCTTTCCTTCCAATAGGCAAAGCACAGTGTATCACCAACCTCAGACTTGCTGTTTGACGATATGACTTACTTGCAACAGTGGAGATTGTCTGCAGGTGTCAGCTGCCGATTGTGAGCAGAGGCTTTCAGAAGCAGTGCCCCAGAGCTTTGCTTGCCCTCCTGAGAACAGCATGCCCAACAGCGACCCCGCCTTCCGTCCATGTTCCGGAATGAGACAGTACATGGCACAGAGCCGAGCCCCGCCAATCTCAGATGAGCCCCGCCCAGTCACTGCCAGCCCACAGACCTACAATAGCAGGTCCTCTTTGCCACAGCCAAAGCTATCTAATGTCGATATATATTTAAACAGGAAAAAAAAATGCCTTACAGAGTTTAAAAGAATTAGTGGACCGGCCGGGCGCGGTGGCTCACGCCTCTAATCCCAGCACTTTGGGAGGCCAAGGCGGGCGGACGAAGAGGTCAGGAGATCGAGACCATCTTGGCGAACACGGTAAAACCCTGTCTCTACTAAAAATACAAAAAATTAGCCGGGCGTGGTGGCGGGCGCCTGTAGTCCCAGCTACTCAGGAGGCTGAGGCAGGAAAATGGCGTGAACCCGGGAGGCGGAGTTTGCAGTGAGCCGAGATCGCGCCACCGCACTGCAGCCTGGGAGACAGAGCGAAACTCCGTCTCAGAAAGAAAGAAAAAAAAGAATTAGTGGACCACTATTTACTAACTGTGTAACCCAAACTCAGACCTTCTGAATGTTAGACAAATTCTTTTTACATAACATCACAGTGAGTTCTTAACTAAAGAAGGGTAACTTCTTTAAGAAGTTATTCATATTTATACAAGGCAGGCATTTGCCCTTGAAAAGCTTTCTGTCTCCTCGGATCCACCAGGAATAGAAAATCTTTCTCGGCAGGGCGCAATGGCTCACGCCTGTAATCCCAGCACTTTGGGAGGCCGAGACGGGCGGATCACGAGGTCAGGAGATCGAGACCATCCTGGCTAACACGATGAAACTCCGTCTCTACTAAAAATACAAAAAAAATCAGCCGTGCGTGGTTGCGGGCGCCTGTAGTCCCAGCTACTCGGGAGGCTGAGGCAGGAGAATGGCGTGAATCCAGGAGGAGGAGCTTGCAGTGAGCCGAGATCCCGTCACTGCACTCCAGCCTGGGCGACAGAGCAAGACTCCGTCTCAAAAAAAAAAAAAAAAAAAAAAGAGAAAAATATTTCTCCATTTACTATTCTGCAAATATATTTACCTCTTGTGGTATGTAGTATAAATGCTTTACTTTCTCCATGTCTTTGTTTCATATATATGAAATACCTCTTATTTCTCCATATCAGTTGTTTTCTAGCTGGGAGATTTATTTCAATATAATTAACACGATCATAGCAGTAGTTATTAAATAGTCAACAATTTTGGATTTCATAGTGTCAATATTTCTACAGCCAGATATATGGTTCTTCTTAAATTGAGCTTGGAAAATACCTTTCTAACATAAAACCCAAAGTCTTGTTATGTACTAGAAGATCTGGAGTTTCCATTATATCATGTTGACCAAGAAAATGTCCATTAAAAAAAAAAAAGCAAGAAAATATAACATCTACAGGCTCAAAAATACCAGGCCAACTGAGACACCAAAGTGGCCTAGGATCATAAGATAATTATCACTGTTAAATAATCATTCAGTCATTGATTTTTTTACTTAGTTATTCATTTAATCCATCAAACATGTGCATTAGTTAGTTTGAGCTGCCATAACAAAATGCCATAAACTTGGTGGCTTCAACAAAAACAATTTATTTTCTGACAGTTCTAGAGGCTGCAAATCCAAGATCAGGGTGCCGGCGTGATTGGATTCTGTTAAAGGCTCTCTTCTGGCTTGCAGACAGCCACTTTCTCACTGTGTGTTTTCACATGGCAGAGAGAGAGCAAAAGGGAGAGGGAGAGGGAGAGGGAGAGGGGAGGGGGGAGGGGGGAGGGGGAGAGAGAGGGGGAGAGAGAGAGAGCACAATCTCTCTGATATCTCTTCTTATAAGGTCACTAATCCCATCATAAGGACTCCACCCTCATGACCTCATCTAAATCTAATTGTCTCCCAAAGGGCCCATCTCCTAAGACTATCACATTTCAGGTTAGGGCTTCCATATATGAAGAGGGGGCACACAATTCACTTCATAACAAACATGTATTGATCATCTATGTGCAGGATACTTTGCTAGGCACTGGAGTCCATTGGTAGAAGAGAATATCATGTTCCCTGCTCTCATGGAGCTGTTAGCCTAGTGTAGGGAATCTAGAAAGTAAAATAATACAGCTCCAAAGTAGTACTCTAGGGAAAACGTAGAGATTATGGGAACACATAAAAGAGGTATCTTTCCCAGATACCCAGAGTCAGCGAAGACTACCTTGATAAAGTGTCATGAAGCTGAAACTGACAAAGAGTATAGGTTTGCCAGGTGAAGGGGGAAGGAGCAAGGGCTGGATACAGGAAGAAAAATGGCACATGTTAATCCTTGAGTCAAGACAGAACTAAGTGCAATCAAGGATGTAAAATGTGGAGTAACTGATGAGCACTTTTTATTTTAATTACACATTTTGATAGGACAGGCAGGTGAGAGATGTTGGAGAGGTTAGTGAGGACCAGATCATTTAAGACTTTGTAAGCCCTGATTTACATACGAAGATCAAACTCAAAACATTTTTTTTTTTTGGAGACGGAGTCTCGCTCTGTTGCCCAGGCTAGAGTGCAGTGGCACAATCTCGGCTCACTGCAAGCTCCGCCTCTCCGGTTCACGCCATTCTCCTGCCTCAGCCTCCCCACTAGCTGGGACTACAGGCACCCGCCACCACGCCCGGCTAATTTTTTGTATTTTTAGTAGAAACGGGGTTTCACCGTGTTGGCCAGGATTGTCTCGATCTCCTGACCTAGTGATCCGCCCATCTCGGCCTCCCAAAATGCTGGGATTACAGGCGTGAGCCACCACACCCGGCCTCAGAACATTTTTAATGTCCTGGAGAAGAAAGATTTTGTAAAACCCATCCTATGGAGTGCCAAGGAAAATTTATTCCCTACGAAGGTAATGGAGAATGCAAAAAAATATGTAATTTTACAAAGTTTATAAACATAACTCATTTTGAAATTTTGCATTGATATGATAGCATCATAATTTTCTGTTTAGTAATCATATTTGAATTTAACACTGTGTGACAGCAGCACATGTATGTGACTATGTGTGTAATGGAGCAGACAAAAATAACAAAATTCTCCATTATAGCTACCAGTATCTCTAGTGCCACAATCAGACTGTTCTTCATTTACTGTGTCATTTTAAAACATTTACTGAAAATTTGCTATGAAGTTGGTTCCATGAAGCTGTAATCATCCTGTGAATAAAACAACCATCCCTGCCCTCATGGAGCTTACATTATAGGAGGAGAAGGCAGAGCAACAGTAAACATAATAAATAAGTAAACTATATAGTATGTTAGAAAATGATGAGTGCTTTGGAGAACAGAAATGGAAGTACCTGGATTCGAAGGAGGTGAAGGTAGCTTTATACAGAAAATAAAATTTGAGCAAAACTTGGAGGGAATTTGCCATGCAAATATCTGAAGAACATACGGCAGAAGAAAGAATATTCCAGGTATGGGAACCAATGCAAAGGTCTTAAGCAGAGAACATGCCTGATGTCATCCAAGTACTTGAAGAAGGTTGATGTGGCTAGATTGCAATGAATGAGAAGTAAAGAATAATAGAAGATGAAGTCCAAATGTAGAGAGGGAGTCATCTCAAGGAGGGCTCTGTAGGCTACTGAAGGCTTTGGCTTTCACCATGAATGAATGCAAAGCTATTGGAGGGTCTTCAAGTAGAGGAGCAGCATGATCTGATTTACAGTTAAAATTAGTCACTTTAGTTACTGTGGTAGGTAGAGTAATGATCCCTCCAACATGTCTACTTCCTAATCCCTGGAATCTGTAAATATATTTATTACCTTACATGGCAAAAGGGAATTTACAGAAGTGATTAAGGTTAAGGGCCTTGAGATGGATTATCTAAGTGAACCCAGTCTGATCACTTGAGTGACAAAGGTGGAAAGTGGAAGAGGGAGACCCAAGACTGAGTCAGAGAGATGTAACATATGAAAGATCCTCTCTGCCATTGCTGGCTATGAAGATGGTGGCAAAGGAATGTGGTGGCCTCTAGAAGCAGGGAATGACACTTAGTTTACAGCTAGCGAAACAACAGGGACCTTGGTTTTAGAGCCACAAAGAACTGAATTGTGAACAATTGGAATGAATAGGAAACTGATGCTCCCCTAGTGACTCCAGGAGATAACACAGACTGCCAACACCTTAATTTTAGTCCAGCAAGACCCGTTTCAGACTTCTGATTTGTAGAACTATACAATCATAAATGTGCATTGTTTTAAGCCACTCAGTCTCTGGTGATTTGTAAAAGCAGCAACAGAAAACTATTAATAATACAGTTACTGTGCAGAGAAAATGTTATGGAAAGTGAGGAGGAAGAGGGAAACAAAAAGAAGAGTTGGGAAGCTATTGCAGTAATCAGGTGAGGCATGAGCATTTGGATAAACGTAGCAGCCATGAATACAAAAAAGGACCCAATTCTGGCTATCTTCTGAAGGCAAAGCCAACACAATTCTTGGCAGACTGGACGTAGAGCATAAGGACATGTTAAAGATGGGCCTGAGATTTTTGACCTGAGTAATTGAAAGGATAGTATTTCCAGATGGGAAAGACTATGGGAGGAATAGGATTGTGGAGGAATTCAAGAGATCAATTTGGAGTGGATACTCTAGAGTAAGGAGTTGAATATGCAGTATGGGTTCAAGAGACAGTTCTGAGATGGTAATATCGATTTGAATGTCAGTGGTATGTAAATTGTTAAGTCATAGATTGGACGAACTCATAGAATAAGTGTTGATAGGTCTCTCTTTGGATAAACATTCTTCTGTGAAAATATTTAATTTAAATATATGTATATATAGTTAAGTAGTCAATAATATGCTTCCAGAAATTTTCCTTCCAGATCACTTCCTCTCATGTAGAAGAAACACATGATCCATGAGAGCATGTGGAGATTTGGAAGGAGGATGCTTAGGATACATGTAAAAGACACTGAAAGTATCCAGACTGAAGAAAGTCAACAAATAAAAATAAACTGTGCTTACTAGGCAATTCTGTCTAATTCAGAATTCTGTCTAATTCTGTCTTCCCTAATTGATGGAGCAAAAAAATAAAATAAAAATTAAATTTCTGACAGCATTCCATACTAGAAGCTGAAGTATGCTCAAATTTGTACCTCAGTCATTGCTTAATTTGCCTTTGGAAAAATAGCTCCATCACGTAAACAAACCTCTTAGTTTCTTCAAATGCTACAATCCCTTGAGAAAGACACTGGTAGCAGGTAAACCTGCAATAGGAGAGCCACTCTGAAACAGGAATGAACAGACTTAGATGTCTATTTTTACCCCACCACAAAAATGCCCAACCAGAATGCTTAGCAAGTGCCACAGACAACTGTGCTAAGTGCTCTGTCTGCGTCATTTCATTTAATTCCTCCCAACAATCCCTTGAGGTGGCTTTGTAATCACAGGTGAGAAAATTAAATTTTAGAGTAATTAAGAAACTTGTCCAGTGTCATTCGTAGAGCTAGAGAATGTCAGAGTCAGAATCCAAATGCAAGTCAGATAGTTCTAAAGCACGCTCTCTTATCTGTCTGTTATGTTGCAACTAGACAGTCACAGGTCCTTCCACTTTAAATTCTAATATATTCATTGAATCTGCACAGTCTTTCCTGATTACTGGAGTAAATAGTACTTACTCTATGCCCTTTTTATTTTTATTTTTTAGTTAACATCACACACATCCTACTTTTCTTGTTCCTAGTTCTGTTTTCCTCTATGAGCTGCCAGAATAATCCTATCCGTGGCTCCCTTTTCCTTGCAAGATTAAAAGCATAGTCTTTAATATGCTATTAAAATTCTGTTTTATATCTCCAGCCTCACATATCATAAGCCCTTCCTACCTTGCACCTTGTGTTCCAGCCACACCAACTGAAATGCACATCCCAGAATATGCCCTAAGCATGTGACCACTCTGCCATGAATACTACCCTCTCCACTCCAACACGCATACACATCACCCTTGAATAATTCCTATTCAGAATTAAAACAGTGCAATAATATTCTCCTCATAATGCCTTCCCTCTACAAATAAGACACATTTACTGAGCTACTCTATGCCACACACTATTCTAAGCACCCTGAAAACTTTGGTAGAGAATATGTCTGTTCTCAAGAAACTACAATGTATCTTGGATACAACCACATAAACAAAATTTATATATAATTTTCAAAATAATACTGCAGCCTGGAAAATTTTAAGAATACACTCAATAATCCTCTCTGCTCTCAAGCCTTTCTTATCATATCATATTAAAATTTTCTGCTAATGAATCTAACATGATATTTATTGTTACAAATTGCAAGAGTCTTTTCTAATACTCTGTTAAGATCACATTAGAAAACTATTTTAAAATATAAAGGTACGCATTTATTACTCAAATTGTATTTCCTTTTATGAAAGAATATTCTTAAACTATATGAAGAAAATAAAAGAGCAAATATAAAAATAAATGCAATAATATAATGGATATAACTATAGTCGGAAAGATATTTATTAAATTTGAAAACTTAGTCTCTATAAAACCAAATGTTATTATTATTATTATATGTAAGTTAGGTTCTTGGCTAGTGTTTAAATCACTCTCAAGTATTAATCCAGATCTATTCAGTGTAATTAACTCTTTCACATCAAAATCGTCTATAAATGGCAAAAAATGAAAATGTAGGAAAGCAGTAAACCTTTCAAGTTTATAAATTGCTTAATCTTTCACAGTTGTATTTTTGTAGGGAAATAAACTCTAAAGATTAGTCATTAAAATTCTTTAGCTGTAGCTACTTTATTATATCAAATTGGCAATGTGTTTTGCTTATATTTGGACATATATCTTTTATAGGAGGTATAATTATTAGTATGTTATTTATTTTCACATTTCTATAGTCATAAACTGTATGCTATATATATGCATATTCTAAATTTTCACATATCTATAACTTATGTCAGTATTCTCCATTTATCACATTTTATATGCATTTCACATATTTAAATTTAATATTAGAAAAAGCTATAGCTCAGAAAAATTTGAAAACTTTCCCAAGACTTCAGAGCTAACAACTTAGCAGAGCTAGGATCCTGTCCTCAGGTTTATATGTTACCATATGATTCTTTGATCCTAATGAGAAGCATGAAAAGTTAAAAGAATTTACCAAGAATTAACGATTTACTTAATGTTGCAACCATAATCAGAAACTAGTTTATTAAAATAGTTAATATTCTATCCTATTTTTAATATTAATACATTGAGAAAAAGTTAACCCGCTTGTCAGTATTCTGTTTTCTACTACATAGCTCATAAAGCTATCATAGAACCGCCTCTCATAAAGAAAAATTAAGATGCTGGAGAAGATATGACACTGGAAAAATAATAATACAGATTCAGATAATACAAAGTTAAGGTAAATCCCAAGCGCCAGAATAAAGCAGAAATAAGAGCCATCTCAGTAAACATGGACTAATGTCAAGGTTGGTATCAGACTTGAAGATCAAAGAATAGAGCCTGATGTTTTAACAGCCACACAGGAAAAAATACATGTGACTTTGGGCTTGGTCAAGTACAGAATCAGAACTGCATCAAGCTAGGGCCTCAAGAGGCTGTGTAGTCATGAAAAGAGCCAAGAGTATTTTTAAAAGTAACTTTTCCGGGGCTTCTGGTGCAGAAAATTCAATCTTCTGTGAGGAATTATAACTCCAAACAAACCCATGTATACCAATGTATATCAGACTCCCAAGGTAAGGAATTTGACCTAAAAATTGGTCTAGGACCAATGAACCACTGCAAAGCCCTAGCAGAAAAAAATTCCAATTATTGTGTTAGACCACTTCGACAGCATAGATACATAAAATCCCTGAATAATAAAAATCAACTATCTCCAAAGAGGAGCTTTCTATAGACATTCTTAAACAATGTGGAAACCAGTATGAGAGAAAGGCATACAATACAACCAACAAGAGAATCGTGATATCGAGAAGCAAAAACAACAGACTTATCTGGAAGAAACTATGGAAAAAATATGTGAAAAATGTTGTCAGAGATGGAAGGGAAAACATGGTGAGTAAAAATCAACACTAGGGCAAGGCGAGGTGGCTCACGCCTGTAACCTCAGCACTTTGGGAGGCCAAGGCAGGTGGATCACTTGAGGTCAGGAGTTAAAGACCAGCCTGGCCAACATGATGAAATCCTGTCTCTACTAAAAATACAAAAAAAAAAAAAAATTAGCTGGGCATGGTGGTGGGCACCTGTAGTCCCAGCTACTTGGGAGGCTGGAGCAGGACAGTCACTTGAACCCAGGAGGTGGAGGTTGCAGTGAGCTGAGATCACACCACTGCACTCCAGCGTGGACAACAGAGCAAGACTCTGACTCAAAAAAAAAAAAAAAATCGACCCTAGAAGAAAAAAGGTCATCTAATTTGAATAAGTTACAAATAGAACCGTTTAAATATTAAAATAAATGCAACAATTTAAAGCAGATTCTCCATTAATGAATTGAACAGCTGATAAGTAACGACCTAAAGGAAACCTGGATAATTATAAGACACATCTCAGGAAAGTGCCTAAAAGGTAGAGAAAAGAGATTAAAAGATCCATCAGATGAAAGAACGAGAGGTTCTAACATGTGTCTAATGAGAGTTTCAGTGAGATAAAGAGTACAGGGAAAGAAATACTTGGAAAGACATTGGTGGTCGTCAGATTCTATACCTGGAATGGCTTCTGATTACAGCAATATGGATTAGCATAACTTGGATTAATGAGTACCACTGAAGAAAGCTAACACAGCAGGACAAAACACATTAAAAAATTATCTCAAAGGCAGAGTACTAGTAAAATAGTAAATTAGGTCAAGGGAGAAGTTCTGAAATTCTGAGAATAAACCCTGCATTTAGAAATTCTTTCCCTGGGGGTATTTGGCACAGACTAAGCAGAACTTTTGACATGCTCTCAGGACTTGGGAACAATGGCTGCAGTCTAGATACTGGCAGGGACAGAGCACAAACCACTTCTCTTATGAAGGACAGCATGCTGGAGACAGCGGACGCTAAATATAAGCCAGATATTTCCCAGCTATGGGAAAATAAGTTTCTGACTGTCCCAGAAATTCTCACTCTGATTTTAGCTTAAGGTGGTTCTAGATTGCCAGTACCATAAAGTGACAATATAAGAGAAATAAAATCCTTTCTGGAAAAAGGAAAGCTTTATCCTAGTATGCAAACTGTTACTACAAACACTTTTTCAAATATAATTTCCAATCCAGTTTTAAAGATAAAGATTGAAGGAGATAAGGCAATTGGCATAGAAACCAGCAGAAATGATACAGATAAAGAAGAGACCTTCTCCATATTGTTCAGGCTGGTCGTAAACTCCTGGGCTCAAGTGATCCTCCTGCCTTGGCATCCTAAAGTGTTGGGATTACAGGTATGAGCGACCATGCACGGGGTACCTGTATTGTTTCATTTTTAAAAAATGATGTATCTGAAGTAAATGTAACAGATCAGCTTGTGAATACATGGATATTTTATGATACTACTCTCTATACATTTCTATACTTTAGCATTTTATAATTTTTTAAAGAAGAATTTAATGTTTCAGAAAAAAAGTATAAATATATTCAAAAGATGGAAAAAGTCTTTTCCGTCTTATGTTTATCTGTATCTAAGGTGATATTACATGCAGAAATTTTTACTTTGGATAATTTGTTAGTATTTCAGTTTCATTGATTATCTTTTTGAAACAGCTAAAAGATAATTATATCATCAAAATAACGGAAAACATAGAAACAGCTTCTCTATAGCACTGTTTTACTTCCATAAATATGGTTGAATAATTCTTGATTCAAATTTCTTTTTATAAAATTACATTAAATGTACTATGGCATCTCTATAAGTTTTATACAATGAAAAAATATTGCATGCTTTGTATTCCTTCATTACAAAAATTGAACTGCAATTTAAATATGAATTTCAATTTAGAGCATTAGTAATTAACTGATTTTATTCTGTTTTGTAATTCTTTCATTCATTAATCACTGTGAGAGCTGAAGAACATTACAACCCTGTAGGAAATAAAAAGACAAGGGTGTCACTTAAGGTTAGTCATAGAGCATGGCTTGCATTTTAATCTAGCATTGGTTTTATGGAGATTTAAAACTTTTCAATCAAAAATACTTCTAAATGTCACCAGTTTTAGGGGAAGCATTTAGTCATTTCATGAATTAATTTTCTGGGCTTTACTGCTATGCTTTATTTACCACAATCTAAAATCAATACTATGGACACAGGGTATGGTTTTGTGTCAGACATGCACAGTCCTGAGGGCCCTGGTTTAAAAAGGATGATGTAGGTATCATTTTCTTTCTTCTAGCATTTCCCTAACAGATATGCAACACTTAACGGTCAAATGCTTATGGCATGTCTTGCTTCAAGTTGGAGAAATCCTATTTTTTCCCATCCTGTGCAATGTACTCATATGTAGTCACAAGACTGTTGGTGACTAAGACACCCAAAACTAGCAGCTATATTTGCTTCTTAGCACTGTAACCGTCCCAGCCCTGGTATTTGATTTAAGCCATTATACAGATTACAATTTGGGAAAGAAGCAATAAAATGATATAAATTCTAATAAATGTTAAAATTTCAATTTTTAAATATAATTAAAATTATGGAAATGAAATCTTTCATGAATGAGATCATCCACAATCTCTACATCTTTTATCCATAAATTCAAGTGAGAGGACAAGAACAGGAATAAGCACATTTGGAGGGCTTATTTTGTCGTGTGTGGACAATTCAATGGTCAGCTTCTGTGTTCACTTTCCTCTGCCTGTGGTTAAATTGTGTTACACAGCCTGAGGTGTTGGAGAAGGGGGTGTTATACCTTCAGGTCATTTACACTTACAGGTATCTGTGGAAATGTTTGTCCTCCCGTCTGGGCTTAGACATTCACAGATTGTAGCTGCAATGTCCCTTAATTCCATAAGTGTCCTTAAGACTTGGGAGAACCTTCATATATTTTTCCCTCACCCTAGAGTTTTGAGACCAATTCTGGTGCTTATTCTCTTTCTCTGGACAATGAACATATCTGTGATACCATTTGCTGTCCTCATCTGCTAGATACCCCATACAGACAGTCCCTATATCCAGAAAATAGACCAAAAACTCCCATATATTAATATAATCTATATAATTGTATATAATATAAAATAGACTAAACCTCCATAAGTTATTAATATAATATATAATTATATATAAATATTAATATAATATATAATTATACATATAATCATTAATATAATTTATAGGAGTTTTTGGTCTATTTTCTGGAAATAGGGACTGTCTATATGGGGCAATCTAGCAGGAAAAAATGTAAATCAGGAAAAAATTGAATAAATGTCTTGAAAATGTACTTCAAAAGAGAATATTCAAATGAAGCATGTGAAGATATGTTCAATATTTAGTTATCAGAAAAATGCAAGTTAAAATCACAATGAGACACCATTACATATTTAGTGCCATTTCTTTAAAAAATGAAAAAGTTATTACATATGTAAAGCATCTAGCCTTTTTTTTGTTGTTGTTGCTGTTAAACATTAGCCCTTTTTTTTTTTTTACTTTTATCTTGAGCTTCAGGGCACATGTGCAGATTTGTTATATGGGTAAATTGCATGTTGTGGGGATGTGGTGTACAGATTATTTTGTAACCCCGGCAATAAACATAGTACCCAACAGGTAGTAATAAGCATATTACCCAATAGGTATTAATAAGCATATTACCCAATAGGTAGTTTTTGGATCCTCACCTTCCTCCCAATTTCCCCCTCTTGTGGGCCCTGGTGTCTATATTCTCTTCTTTTTGTCCACATGTACTAGATAATTAGCTTCCACTTATAAGTGAGAACATGCAGTATTTGGTTTTCTGTTCCTGTGTTAGTTCACTTAGGATAATGGCCTCCAATTCTCTCCATGTTGCTGCAAAGGATGTGATCTCATTATTTTTTATGGCTGTGTAGTATTCAATGGTGCATATGTTTCTTTATGCAGTCTAGCACTGATGGGCAGTTAGGTAGATTCCATGTCTTCACTATTGTGAACAGTGCTGCAATGAACATATGTGTGCAAGTGTCTTTATGGTAGAATGACTTATATTCCACTGGATATATATCCAGTAATGAGATTGCTACATTGAATGGTAATTGTATCTTAAGTTCTTTCAGAAATCTCCAAACTGCTTTCCACAATGGCTGAACTAATTTATATTCCCACCAGTAGTGTTATGTTTTCTTTTCTCTGCAGCCTCACCAGCATCTGTTATTTTTTTACTTTTTAATAATAGCCATTCCGACTGCTGTGAGATGGTATCTCATGGATTTTATTTGCATTTATTTCTCTAATGATTAGTGATGTTGACCTTTTTTTCCTATGATTGTTAGCCACCTAAATGTCTTTTTTTGAACAGTGTCTGTTCATGTCCTTTACCCACTTTGTAAGGGGATTGGTTGTTTTTTGCTTATAAATTTGTTTAAGTTGCTTAAAGGTGCTGAACATTAGACCTCTGTAGGATACATAGTTTGTAAGTATTTTCTCCCATTACGTAGGTTGTCTGTTTACTTGGTCGATATTTTGCTGAACAGAAGCTCTTTAGTTTAATTAGGACCCATTTGTCAATTTTTCGTTGTAATTGCTTTTGACATCTTCATCATAAAATCTTTGACCAGTCATATGTCCAAAATGGTATTTCCTAGGTTATCTTCAGGGTTTTTATAGTTTTAGATTTTACATTTCAGTCTTTAATCCACCTTGTGTTGATTTTTGTATACTGTGTAAGGAAGGGGCCAAGTTTCAATCTTCTGCAAATGACTAGCCAGTTATCCCAGCACTATTTATTGAACAGGGAGTTCTTTCCCCATTGCTTGTTTTTGTAAACTTTGTCGAAGATCAGATGGTTGAAGGTATGTGGCATTATTTCTGGGCTCTCTATTCTGCTCCACTGGTCTATGTGTCTGTTTCTGTACTAGTACCATACTGTTTTGGTTACTGTAGTCTTGTAGTGTAGTCTGAAGCCAGGTGATGCCTATAGCTTTGTTCTTTTTGCTTAGGATTGCATTGGTTATTTGAGCTTTTATCTTATTTTTGTTTCATATAAACTTTAGAATAGTTTTTTTTCAAATTATAAAGAGAATGTCATTGTAGTTTGATAGGAATAGCATTGACTCTGTAAACTGCTTTGGGCAGTATGGCCATTTTAATGATATTGAATCTTCCTCTCCACGAGCATGGAATGTTTTTCCATTTGTTTGCATCATCTCTGGTTTCTCTGAACAGTGTTGTTTTTAATTCTTATTGTAGAAATCTTTCACTTCCTTGATTATCTGTATTTCTAGGTATTTTATTATTTTTGTGGCAATTATGAATGGGATCACATTCCTGATTTGGCTCTCAGCTTGGATGTTGTTGGTGTATAGGAATGCTATGGATTTTTGTTCATTGATTTTGTATCCTGTAACTTTGCTGAAGTTGTTTATCAGATCAAGGAACTTTTGAGCAGAGAATATGGTGTTTTCTACATATAGAATCATACGGTCTACAAACATAGATAGTTTGACTTTCTGTCTTCCTATTTGACTGCCTTTTATTTCTTTCTCTTGCCTGATCACTCTAGCTAGGACTTCCAGTACTATGTTGATCAAGAATGATGAGAGAGGGCATTCCTGTATTATTCCAGTTTTCAAGGTTAATGCTTTTGCTCATTCAGTATGATGTTGGCTGTGGGTTCCTCATAGATGGCTCTTACTATTTTAAAGTGTGTTCCTTCAATGCCTAGTGCGTTGAGGGTTTTTAATATGAAGACGTGTTTAACTTTATCAAAAGATTTTTCTGCATCCATTGAAATAATCATGTGGTTTTGTTTTTAGTTCCCCTTATGTGATGAATCACATTTATTGGTTTTAATATGTTGAAGCAACCTAGCCTCCCTGAGATAAAGCCTACTTGATCATGATGAATTAGCTTTTTGATGTGCTGCTGAATTCAATTTGCTAGTATTTTGTTGAGGATTTTTGCATCTGTGTTCATCATGGACATTGGCAAATATCCGTATGATCTTTGACAAAGCTGGCAAAACAAGCAATGAGGAAAGGACTCCCTATTCAATAAATGGTACTGGGATAACTGGCAAGCCATATGCAGAAGATTGAAACTGGAACCCTTCCTTATACCACATATTCAAGATGGATTAAAGACTTAAATGTAAAACCTAAAACTATAAAAACTCTGGAAGATAACCAAGGCCTCTCTTTTATAGGTGAAAATACAAGTTAGTATTACCACTCTTGAACTTTTGCACAATATGAATTATGTACAAATATATGCATAAACCATAACCCTGTAATTTTTATTTCTTTATCTATTCAAGTATCTACCCATCCAAGCACATGTATAAAAATGATAAGGTCTGTATTATCCATAATACCTTAAATTTCCATCATGAGAATAATGGATAAATAACTGTTGCGCAGTCATGAAATGAAATGCTACAGACTAATGATCTTCAAAGTGTGGTCCCTGGGCCAGCAGCATCAGTACTACCTGAGAACCTGTTAGAATTGCAAATTGATGGGCCCACTCCAGATCTACTGGTTTGGAGATTCTGGTTTGGAGAGTCTGGAGGGGGGTCCTCTAGATTTCTCTGTTTAGCAAAACTTCCAGATAATTCTGATGCATAATTAGGTGGACACGCACTGCTTTCTATGCAAAAAAATGAATATATATAAAAAAATCTGCTCTCCGCCATACCATGAATAAATTTGTGGTTAGATTCTAAGAGGAAGTATAAGAGAGATTCTGGCGTAATTTTCTATTTGGATGCTAGTTACAAGTTTACTCTGACCAAAATTCATAAATATATTCACATATAATTTGCCCATTTTGTATTTGTATCGTACTGAAATAATGTAAAAACATAGTGTACTCCAATCAAACTCAGCTGCTTTGATATTGCATGCTCAATAATGGGTGTTTATTTTCTCTCTTAAATTGGGTATTATACTCTGCAGGCAGGATAAAATGTATTTGTTTCAAGAAAAAAGACTATTTACTTTAAGAAAATGTATCCAGTCAACCTATTATATTTTGAGTGCATGTTTGTGTATATGCTATGCTTTAATGAAAACTTTACTGAAAAATTAAGTAAATATTTTTCCTTGGCAATCATCCATGTCAATATTGTTCATCAGATGGTACTGATGTTTTTATTTGTTGATTACTGCCATGTGGTAGGCATTTCACATACCACTTTACTAAATCCTGCTACCAAATAAATGGTATTCCTATTTTGGAGA
Organism: Homo sapiens; assembly: GCF_000001405.40. Lineage (NCBI taxonomy): Eukaryota > Metazoa > Chordata > Mammalia > Primates > Hominidae > Homo > Homo sapiens. The sequence continues at coordinate 105,530,937 of NC_000011.10, forward strand.
CAAAAAGTGCTGAGGCCTGGGGAAACTGTATAATGTCCTCAGAATAGTAAGTGGAAAAATTCAAGATTGGAAACTCAAGTCTGTCTAACTCCAAGTTCATGATCTTTCTACAGTATCATGTGGCCATATAACAGACGCAGAGACTGGTATTTTCCCAGTAGGTGCACAAAATAATTACTAAATCTATCCAGGATAAGATGGTAGAAGAGGCAAATGAGGTTGATGCTGCTGGGAATATCATACATTCTCCAGAAACTAGCCCATATTTATAGATTATCATGTTTAGAAGGCATCTTCAATATCATGAATTAAAATATATTCCCTTTGAAATCAATTCCATAGACTAGGAACTCAGTTTTTCACAAACTATCTCTTTTCATTACAATTTTCTTTATTAGATAATATTTTCTTGTATTGAGGCCAAACACTGTACAAATACATCACAAATTAGTACATATACAAAAGGAAGCTTGTGCAGAACATAAATTTGTACAAATATTATAAAAATACAGTGTGCTTTATACCAATGGTCCCAATTCTGCCTATTTTAGACATATAGGGAAACATAGTTCCATAAAACAGAATATCAAATATTTAAAGTAAACCACTATTTTGTTCTTTGAGTCTACTTTCTCCTTGTTTCTTCCAACTGTTTTTAATATTACCTGATTTCTGAGTCACTTCATCATCCTGATCTTTCCCCTCTGACTGGTTCAATTTGTTCATGTGTCCTTTCAAGAATGGTTTTACTTAGGTGTTTTCTAAAAAGGAAAGTAGAACAGGAACACTTCATTTATCTTGTTCCAAACCTCAAGTTCCTATCATTACACCGCAGAGTTCCAAGAACTAGAAGCAAAGGAATTACCCTTTTTTGTTTAAAATGTTCTTGGGTTTGGATCAGGTCCTTGTGAGAGCTTAGGCTGAGGCAATATTTTCACAATTTTTATTATAAAGTATAAAAATTTATCATCCTTAGTTGCCCAAAGCAGCTGTTATCATAATCAAAGGAATAACCCAAGATAATTTATCTTAGAGTCCTATAAACAGAATGTCTGGCAACTAATGTGCATATACTTTGAAACTGTGTGAACTAGACACATGGTTTTTCCCTGTTTAAGCCTTAACTTCTTTACTAATGGAAATGGGTTGTATGAATTAAGTGAAATAAAATCAGGAAAGTAATAGAATTCAATACATATTAGATCCATTTCCCCTTTCCATAGCTCCCTAAAAGACACAAAAATGCAGGGCTAGTTTATTCAAATGGCACACCTCAACATCACCATCACACACATAGCCATAATCATCATCACCATCATTACTATCATCAAAATTATTTGTTGCCTGTTCACTGTGTGTCAGACATTTTATCAGGCCTTTGCATGATTTATCTCATTTCATTTAATTCTTAAATTAATCTAATGTGGCAGTTATATTTATTAAACCCATTTGACATATGAGAAAACTAAAGCACAGAAGGCTTACTAACATGTCATGCTAAATGATGTCATGCAATTCGATCGTACAGGTTCTAAAGATCCACATTCCTAAAAGAAAGCTCTAAATCTAAATCTTCATTGTATATACATTGGAGTATACATGCTTACCTCATTCAAAGAGTTATTGAACACTCACTAAGGGGCAAGCACATATATATTTAAATAAATATAGATAAGATACAATTTATTCTTCCATGGAGCTCACATCCTAGAGGTGACAGTGATATTGATGCAATTAAACCAAAAAGACAAAGGGAAATTATAATATGCTGTGATATGTTCTGTATAACAGTGGAAAGCTCTTAAAAGTTAACAGTGATAAAGGATCAGGAGGCAAAATCTTTCTAAGAAACAGAAACAGCAAATGCAAATACTCAGCATCTAGCAAAATAATTTTCTTATTTTAGGCAACTTTTAATTAGTTTGGTGTAGCAAGAATATGGAATGAAAAAAGGCTCCTCATGTGATGAGGCTGAAAGCTGATTGGGGTCAAATCTAGACATAATGCTTATGAGTTTTGGAATTTATCCTTCAAATGATGTAGAACTTCTGAAGGATTTTTATCATGGAAATAATGGGAACAGTTTGGGGTGTTATAATATCTTTCAGGCAGTGTGGCAGAAATTGATGAGAAGAGAGAGTGGGATGGACTGGGAAATCTGGTATTAGAGAGGTGACTTTGAAATCTGCGGAGTTGCTATAAATAAAAAAATAATAGGTGCTGAAGCACTGAAGGTGGAAAATAGAGGAGACAGGTATAAGACATTAACAAGAATGAAATAATAAGACCATCGTGGTTAACAAATGGATGTGGGTGTCTGGTTGTGGTGATAAGGAGGTGAAAAAATAGAAATAAACAAGGATGAGATAAAATGCATCTCCCATGACATGCCCATAATCTTGTTTTCACTTTAAATGTAATACCCTGGAGATATTAGCAGCCCTTTCCTTATTTTCCCCTACCTCTGCTTTACTTCTATCAAGGATTAAACCCTACTCTCTCAGTCAGAGTTTTAATGTTTCTCCTATTTCCAGAATACAGCAAACTAGAGAAAAGAACTAAAGCCTGGCCAACATGGTGAAATCCCATCTCTCCAAAAATACAAAAATTAGCTGAGCATGATGGCAGGTGCCTGCAATCCCAGCTACTCAAGAGGCTGAGGTGGGAGAATCACTTGAACCCGGGAGGTGGAAGTTGCAGTGAGCCGAGATTAAGCCATTGCACTCCAGCCTGGGCGACAGAGCGAGACTCCATCTCAAAAAAAAAAAAAAAAAAAAAAAAAAAGAACTAAAGTAACTTTAAACTCAGTAAGACTTAGATTTAAGTGACTTTCCCACATATATAGAATGCAAGTAGAATGACACTTTCAAGTCTACTACAGACAAACGGTTTTTCCTGGGTCAACCCCCTACCCCCTATCAGACCAACCAGTGATACCCCAGGCCTCAGGACTCAGCCCTGAGTTTCAGGGCTTTTAATCTGCTTCCCTCTAACCTGGAGCAAAGCCATTGCTCACCAACGACTGCTAGGTCATGCTTTTCATATTGATGCTCTTATTCAGATAATGAGGTCTCTATGCCTAAGATTAGCTTATGTTCACACATTATGCCATAATTCTTATTGTTTAGCTTTGGTTTGGGATCCTTTTACACATGCTTTTTCTTGTAACTTCCTTAGTATTTCACACCTATCCTAAGACAATGACAATTTTGCCAGGTCTTAGGAAATAAAACACTGCCAGAAATTCTCATCCCGGGGCAGGGAGCTATTTACTTATTTTTCAAATTTTGCCAAAAAACAATCTTTCTGAAATTCTGAATATCTTCTGATTGCCTTCTCACAAATCATTACAGTCCTTTTGGAGCATCTTGATACCTTTTGGCTTCCTGATATTGATCATATACCTGAGAAATTAATTTGGGATTAGAATACTCCAACTTGGGTTGGCTGTCTATTGTCAGCCAAGCCTAATTTACTTATTCTGTCCTACACTAATCTAGCAATATGCCCCAATCTTTATCTGTTTCATCTTTTTATTACCCAGCAGTCATGCCCTGCTGATATTCACTTTGAGATGTCATAGGCATTATCTATACATTTTTTTTTCTCTGGGACAGACTATTAGACATATAGGATGACCCTGAATCATGAAGAGATACACAGAGTAATTCTGAGCATATTGCAGATTAAGCAAATATGGTAAGAGTCAATAATAGCATCCACATGGCTTGCTATTTTGCATTTATCTTAACAGAGACTAATTTTGTAAACAGCTGCAGTAAAGTGTTTGTTTGTAAAATAGTTTAAATTTCTCTAAATTTGAATTTCATTATCCTATGATCTTAAAAATAAAATTCAATATTTCATCTCTTCCAAAGCATATCTATTGATTAATCCAAAAATACGTTAGAGGGTGGAGCAAGAACATGGAGACATGGGAAGTCTCATACATTTGCTAGTTGGAAGGAATTTAAAATGATACAGCTGTGTTGGAAAACAGTTTGGTAGTTCCTCAAAAAGTTTAACAAGAGTTACCGTAAGGTACAGCAATTCTACTCCTAAAAAATATATGTTTACACAAAACTTTGTGTATAAATGTTCGTAGAATTATCTATGACAGCCAAAAAGTGGAAACAACCTAAATGTCTATCAACTGGCAAATGGTAAATAAAATGTGGCATATCCATAAAGTGGGACATTATTCATGCCTGAATAGGAAGAAGCACTGATATGTACTACAACATGGATTAACCTTGAAAACATCGCACTAAGTCAAAGAGGCCACATATTATATGATTCAATTTATAGAAAATATTCAGAAGAGGCGTATTCACAGAGATAGAACACAGATTAATGTTTGCCTAGGGAGGATGGTGAGGGAAAAGATGACTGACTGCTAATGGGCACAATGTTTCTTTTGGGATTGATAAAAATGTTCTGGAATAAAATAGTGGTTATGTTTAACAACCTTGTAAATATACTGAAGCCACTGAATTTTGTACTTTAAAGGTTAAATTTTATAGTATGTGAATTTTATCTCAAAAGAAAAAACAGAATAGGTCCAGGATGCAATATAATAAATAAAATATTTGGAAATGTCATAAAAAAATCACTGGATTAGAGAATGTTAAAATTAGATATAAATTGAGCCTTATAGCCTTAAATCAAAGTGTGCTAGATTTTTATGATATTATTTTTTCCTTTATGATCATGTTATTTTTCTGAAACCTAAAATTAGTTGCAACTTCCTAGAGATTTTCAAGGATTTCTAGACTCTTTCTTCTGACATATAATTTAAAATTTTAAAGACAAATATGGTTCTATTTGTTCCTACTATATTTCATCTTACTGAATTTAAGCTATTGCTTCAATCTACAAAAGGAAAATTATCTAAATTCTTCAATTCTCAAAGCTGAAAAAATGTACAATAATATAATCCAATCCCCCCTTTTTTCAGGGATAGAGAGAATAAGGCCTGTGTATATTAACTGAGCTACTTCCCACCAGTATACAGTTAGTGGCTCCATTGAGTTTATGCTATAGGAAATTTTCCATTAACTCATATTGATTTGTTATTCTGTCCTTTAGAGAATAGAGATCTTTCCTATATTTTTCAATGTTAACATTTGATAAGCATATGTCTTAATCCGTTTTTATTGTTGCTTATAACAGAATATCTGAAACTGAATAATTTATTTTAAAACGAAATTTATTTTGTACAATTACGGAGACTGAGAAGTCCAAGGTCAAGAAGCTGCCTCTGATGGGAGCCTTCTTGCTGAAGGGGACTCTACAGTGTCCAGAGGCTACACAGAATATCATGTGCTGTGGGAGCTAATGTGCCAGCTCAGGTCTCTTTTTCTCTTTTTATAAAGCCTTCAGCTCCACTCCCATAATAATGCTTTAACCTATTAACCGTTTAATCCATTAATCTACGAGTGGATTAATCCATTCATGAGGGCAAAACCCTGATGATCCAATCACCTCTTAAAGGCCCCACGTTTCAATACTGCCACCTTTCCATATCTTTCTACATTTAGGGATTAAGTTTCAACATGAATTTTGGAGGAAACATTCAAACCATAGCAGCATGTATTACATACATTATACTCTTATTCTAGTTTTTAATTAAATATGATGATTAAGCTGAATATACCAGTGGGGCTGAGATACATGCTCTGATCCCTGTCCATGTCTCTGATCTCCTCCCCTGACACTCTCCCTCTTAATTATTTTTCTCCAGCCATACACTGGACTTCTTGTTTATCTTCTAAGACCTAAGCATTTTCTGCCTTAGAGACTTTATATTTAATATTCCCTCCATCTGGGAAATGCTTTGCATAGAACTGCGTGTGGTGTGTTACATCACATCATTCATATACCTACTCAGAGAACTTTGCTGACCATACTAACTCTCAATTACTCGCCATCCCAAACCCAACTCCCTTCCTTTCCATTCCCTCACAATATTTTTCTTCAGAGATCTCATTATTACCTAAAGGTTTTTTTTTTTACTTTTTTTTTCTATATTGCCTTTGTCTCTCACTAGAACATGTGTCACTAAGAGAAGCTGAAGGACTTTGTCTCTTTACCTCTATATCTCCAGCACTTAGAATAGTGCCTGACCCCTTTTAGCCCTCACTACATAAGTGTTGAATAAAAGAATTAGTCATTTTTATTTTATAATAGAAGGTTAAAGCCTGAGATTTTGTTTTTAATATTCTGTCCAATAATGATTATTTTGCGTTTACATTTTGTTAGTTGTTTCCACCCTGCAGGGACAAGAAGAAAGGAAAGTAGGATATAAGATCCATGAGGTTTCTGATGGTTGAACTTCAAATTTACTAACATCAGCATTGGTTACTAAGAGCCACTGTGGAATCTCTATCTGCGTAGGTGTTCATGCAAAAATCAGAAGTATATGTGTATGCTTCTTAGTTGCTGGTTAGAAGATATTTTCAAAATCCTGTGATGTGCTATTAATCTGGTATATGTATTTTGACTCTTTCCAATAAATTAATGTGACTATGGCAATGAAGCTATTAGACACAAAAATACTGCTTGATAACTTCAAGTACGAGTAATCCAAAATATACCTTATTAAAGCATTATATTATTCTCAGAGTTTTCCATAATGCATAGATGTCAAAATGCTAATTAGAGCTACTGTTTTCTCATTGTTTACTTGTCACAGCTAAGGTAATTTCACTGTTTATATGAGAGCAGCAGGCTGTACAATCTTTCTGTCAATTGTTTTTACAATTAGTGACAAATTGTTTTTTTTTTTTGGTTGGAATTAATTTGTTCCCAAGTCTGTTCCAACTGGACATGTTTATGTAAATATACTGGCACCAATTATGTATCAAAAAGAGATTGCTTTGCCCCGCAGTCTTCGCCCTGAAATATTCCTTCAACTGAAGTCCTGAACTAAACCTCAGTATTAACCATACATTGTGACTTGAATTGATTGAGGAATATCAGGTATCCCTCTTCCAAGAAAATTACCACAACAATTCACTGATACTGACAATTCTTAAAAATAATGCTTTCCAGGTGATCTTTTAAAAATGCAACATTTCCTAAAATAGCTTATAGTTTGGTATAAATTAACAGCCCATAGATTATTTTTCTGAAATGAGAGATTCAGATTGTATGAATCATTGGATACCTGTAGGAAAGATTGTCACCGTGAATTTAGAAATGGAAACCACAATACTGCTGTATCAATTTGCTAGGACTAATATAACAAAGTATCACAAACTCATGGCTTAACCAACAGAAATTTATTTTTTCACAGTGCTAGAGGTTAGAAATCCAAAATCATGGTGGTGGCAGTGTTAGTTTGTCCTGCAGACTTTAGGAAAAGGATGAATTCAAGGCCTCTCTCTTTGGCTTGTAGATGGCTGTCTTCCCTGAGTCTCATCACATAATCTTCTCTCTCTGTGTGTCTGTCTCCAAGTTTCCCCTTTATATAGACACCAGATAACAATCATATTGGATTAGGGGCCTATCATGCTGCCATATGACTTAACTAACTATATCTGCAAGAACCTATCTCCAAATAAAGTCACTGTCTCTATTCACATTAAGTGGAATTTTACATATCAAAATGAATTCCTTGATTTTCATGGTTATTGTGAAATAACCATGAATGCATAATATTTTGAGTAACTGATAAAACTTGAATTCTAGTAGGCATATTGGCAAGCCAAAAGACATTAGAAGGGTGTTATGTGCTGAGAAATGCATGCCAAGTCAAGTGACTGTTCAGCATATAACAATGCTGTTCCCTGCTGCCAAACAAGTGTCTAACATATGTGCTGACCGAGATTGCTGCCTGGTACGATGTTGCTAGAAAGATACAGTGTCAGAGCGTAGTGTGAGAGTGTGTTTTGCTTCTCAAACACATGCTGTGGAAAGGAGAATTATTGAACTTTAAGAGCCAATTGTTGGGTGAAATAATTGCTGGGAAACCAGAACTGTTGAAAGAACAGCAGTTCATTAAGGCAAACATCTCAGAGGCCAAGAAAGCATCTATGCAGTGGGGGAGAACTTATGTAGCCAGATAGTAGTATCTGTATGTGAGAATCATTTTGTGTCTTTCAAATAAATGAGAACCCCAGTGTTCCACGAGGAAGACATAGCTATTAACCATCACCCACTGTGCCTGACTCAAGGGGGCCAGCTCCTTCCGTAGGCTGATTATTTTTCTGGCTGGGTCAAAAACAGTGTATATGAATTACCAGGATTCTTCATCTTTACATTTGCATTAGCCCTAGAAAATAAGTAGCGCCCTAAAAATGGAGAAATAGTTTCGATGTAAAATCCTTCGTGGATTCTGATTGGCCCTGCATGATTTCTCTGTTGTCTACCTCACCCATTTTAGCTTGTCCCCATCTTTCTCTTCACTGGGCTCTATTTATTACTTCAAATTTCCCATGGTCTTTGCATTCTCCAGTCTTCACATAGCCTAGTGTCCTTGCCTAGAATGCTCTTCCTCCCCAATTTTTATTAAATTAACTTCTTTTCATTATTTAGACCTGAGTCTACTTAGCAGCTCCTTCAGAAAGCTTTCCCTAAACTTCAAACTAGGTAAATGATTTGTGTCACATGTTCCCATAGTTTCACTATACTCCTACAGTTATTTGTTGATCTGGAATCTTTTGTCCAACTCTCTCAGCTGTATGAGAACATAGAGTGTACCTGTCATGTTTAACACCATGTGTCAAGCAGCCAGCCCACTGTCTATTGAGATTATAGTGATTATGCTATCAGAGAACTTTGCATTAAAAAAATCCCTGAAATACATCATTATTTATGTAAAATTAATGAAATCAAATCGCCACTTTAAAGGCACTGCAGCTAAAACTCTCTAAAGAGTAAATGTAAAAGTACTTAGAGAAACTACCTTATAATAATGGCCCATTGATTTATAAATACTGTTTGTATATAAATTATAAGTATTATTAGAATACAAACATCTCTTTTCTCTTTGAGCGAAATGACATTGCATTTTTCCCCTTTATAGCCCCAGAGCATAGTTCAATGTTTTTCATAGACTAAAAATTACAATAAATTAAGTGAAACAAAAATTATTTGAAAACACTAATCGCTTTATTAAGTAGACAAAGGTGAACTTAAAAATAGATTGAATAAGCCAGATGCAGTGGCTCATACCTATAATCCCAACAATTTGGGAGGCCAGGCAGGGGGTGGATTCCTTGAGCCCAAGAATTTGAGATCAGACTGAGCAACATGATGAGACTCTGGCTCCACCAAAATAATTAAGAAAAAAACATTAGCAGGACATGGTGGTGCACACCTGTGGTCCCAGCTACTTTGGGTTGATCACTTGAGCCTGAGAGGTTGAGCTGTGATTGCAACACTGCACTCCAGTCTGGGTGACAGGCTGTCACCAAAAAAAAAAGGTTGAATAAATTTAATAATTATATTAATTTAAAGAGTTATCAGAAAACACAAAGCTATGAATATACCTCTCTTTTCTCCCCATTAGCAATCAATGATACCTACATTAAAACTAGTTTAAGATTTTGGGTTCTGTTAAATCATTTTAAATAGAGAAAAATATATCAATAATGGTAATAAATATAAACTTGCCAGTTAAACAACAGAGATTCTTAGATTTAAAAAATAAAAACTAACAATATTAACAAAATACAAACCTTCAATATAAACACATGGAAAGATTAAAAAGAAAATTATAGAGGAAAATGATACTATACAGAAATACTAATCAAACACTGACTTGCATAGGAATATTAATATTACATATTTCAATTTTTAAATAAAATCGATATTGGAAAGAAAGTTATTAGATTATAAAAACATTTAACTTACTGTAAAGCTATAACAATTCTAAATATCTCCAAATAATAAAATGGGTTCATATGATATAAAGCAAACATTAATACAAATTAAATTGGAAAATTGACACATCTACCATTGGAATGAGAGACTTCAATAAATCTCTCTCCTAAATATTGATAAGTACAATACAGAAAATTAGGAAAGTTATAGAAAATTTGGGGCAATATAATTAAGCTTAATATAAATGGACATACATACAACTTTGCGTCAGTTAGAGAATGCCTGTTCTCTCAAACACACTGGAGCAGTTTCAAGATTAATCATGGATTAGGTCTCAAATTCTGGGATGCAAGGACGACTCTAGAGTCCACCCTGTGAAACAAGGACCAGCCCAGTCCTCATGCATTAGGAGGTTCAGCCTGGCTTACTTGCGTAAAAATTTCCAAGTTTCTCCCTTTTGCTCTACGTGTGTTCTTACAAGTTACATTTTTCAGAAAATAAAAATTTTCAGACTGGTCTGGCTGTGTCTGTTTCTTGGAACTAAAAGAGCTTCGTTAAAATTGAACTTGGTATCGCCCAGAACAGAAGAGTTACGGCACTGAGATTCTGAGAATGAGTGTTGATTATGATGAAGAAGGCTGTGTGACTCCCAGAAGGTCAGGCATTGGGCTACTTGGTAATCACTGCCGTAGAGAAATGTTTAAGAAAAGTGGTAGGGAGGAGAGTGAGCGGTAGATAATTCCTTGATTTAGGAAGCCTGCCTTCCTAGCCACTCTCCCCTTTAGGCGCTTTGTTTCAGCCACATTGGTGGTGTTTCAATTCCTTGAGCATGGTTTTTACCAGCTTTCAAACTTTGAAATAAAGTTTCACATTTGAAATTGTTCTTGGAATGTTCTTACTCCTTCCTCCCGCCAACTTCCTCCCTGAGGCCCCAGCTCAGATGTTACTTTCTGTGAAAAAACTCCTCGAGAGTTCTACCTAAATGTTTCCCTACTTATTCATTCTTTATTTCGTTCACAGTATCTATCACTGATGCATTTATATGATCTTTGTTAACCTATATTTTATACATAGTTTATATTTGTTTATTCCACTAGAGAATAAATGTTTTGAAATTAGAAACTATGTGATTTGTTCACCAGTACATATTCAGTACTTAAAATAGTGCATGGTACAATTTAAGGGTAAAGAGAATTTTCCCTCCTACTCTGAGGACTGAAGCCTGGTGAAATAAGCTGACAATGGATGGTTTAATAGAAGAAAAGACATACAAATGCATTAATGTGCGTAAGCAGAAGAGCAATACAGAAGATGAGACTCAAAGAAGGCCCAGATGAATGAAACTTAAGTAGAACCCTCTTCATGGGGGAAGGGAGATTGGAGAATGTAAGCCGTTTTTGAGAAGTATTAAATTATTTTTAAAAGAGATGAATGGGCCCAAAGAGCAGACAATAGTTTGTAAATTATTCTCTTTGGACTGAATGGGACCTGCAAGTCATAGGAAAGATGAGGGGTGGAACTGCACTGTGAACAAAGGTCTTATTATGAAGATAAACTCTCCCAGATAATCTCTTGGGGCTGGTCTTAGAATAGATGAAAAGTCTACCTGGATATGGTGAGGACTTTTAGTTTTTTGTCTTCTCTGGAGGTTAATATTTCCTGGTTATTTAATGAGATTCTTAGGGGTGGGTGGGAATTTTATTTCAAAAGTGTTCAGCATTATGGTATTATCTTATGAGCCCCAACAATATAATAGATGTAAAGAAGTAAAGGCTGATTGACAGCTCTCAATCCATTAGTAACTGAAGAAGTTAAAAGGATTAACTAAAAGGATTAATTAAATTGATCCAGGTTCTAGTCTGACTCTCATCCCTGTAAGTTATGACCATGAACAGGCTGTTTAACTTCTCCAAGTCATAGACTCTGTATCTCTAAATTACGGCTGGGGGTGGATGTGGATATCTTCTTCATAGTCGAATCAAATAAAACAGAATCAAATAAAAAGAGAAATTCTCAATACATTTCAAATATCTAGTACACAAGATAAAATATTAATGTTAGTTCAGCCCACTCCACATATCCCCACCTCTACCCCTCCTGCCGTAAGAGATAGGATACAGAGTTATTTCATGATCAATTCCAGTTAGAAAAGTATAGGAATGCCATCTTTGGTTAAATATAAGGAAGATAGGTCTAATGTTTACTGCTATCTACCAGGAGATAAGACTACTTCAAGAGAAGCATGGATTAGATCCCTCCTTGCCTCTGGCCATGTTTAGAAAATGGATGACTACAAAAAGGAAATTCTTTCTTTGTAAAGCAGATGATACTGGACAACCACAAAGGTGATTTCTAATTTGAAGATTGTATTAGTCTAATCTTTACTAATAAGAGCTGTATTTTTATCCTTTTTATCATTTTTTTTGTCCTTCTTCTGGTTTTATTGTTTTGAACTTTGATTCTTTGATGTATTGAGCTTTATAACTAAATGCACTACAATTAAGCCTTAAAGTAAACTAGAAATATGCTTTAATTGGATTTACTACAGGCCAGAGTTTGCTATAATAAGGCAATTGTATCCTGGATTCCAGGCAATAACATTTAGATTCTGAATTGCCAAAAGGAGCTTGGCTTAATGTACTTTATCTTGTAAGGCAGTATTCCAGCATGAGTTGTCATCTCCGTTGACATCAGGATCTTAGAGACATCCATTGCTAATAAGCACATTAATTAGTAATTATGTAATATCATAATTAGCCAGCATATCAATTAAATCCTTAATAATGAATAGTGTACTATATAAGATCATGAACAATTTTATAAATACTCAAATATAATTTCTCAATGTGAATTTCAATATATAATTTTGGGGTGAAATAAGGGTTTGCACTGGTAAGAGTATCATGTCACCACACACAAGAAAAACGTCTGAATTTACAACTATCACTGTGATATTTGATATTTTGTGGTATTTAAAGTTAAATTCTTGACTCTACTGCATGAAAAGATTTATGAAGGATAAACGGTGAGGATCCAAATTTTTCAAAGTTTGCTCCAGAGACAATACTATCACCAGCATCATAATTACACAGGGTCCTTAATGAAAATTTAGGCATTTCAACTCTTCCTAAGAGCTATTGGCTAGAAATGTTTTGGATTGCCTAAGAACCTGTCTTTTTACCAATGCCCTAGATGAATTCTGCAAACATCACAGTTTTGAAACTCATTGTACTAAAATATAGCTGAAGATAATATATGAGAACATAAGCAAATTGACTGTACTTAAAATGCTGACTCAGGTGAGTAGATTTTTAAAGTAATGTAAAGAACTAAAATACTTTTATGGGTGATTCTCATCTTATAATATTATTTTGAAGGTGCGTAATCCTGTGGCAGAAGCAAAACAGTTTCGTCCGGGCAGAAGGCACTGTAGAGGGGAAGAAACTATTACCTGAGGGACTAAATAAAAATTAATTAATATATGGATATTGAAAATACAGATAAGCTGCAAAGTAAAGTTTGCTAATACTGAGAGCCATCAAGTTCAAATTGGAATTTAGGTTTTATGGAATATTTAGCATGTGGTGATTAAAAATGTAGGTGCAGAGGAAAAGCTTCCCATTCACTCTCTTTTTTTGATTGTTTGTTTGTTTGTTTTTGTTTTTTGAGACAGGGTCTCACCCCATTGCCCAGGCTAGAATGGATTGTCACAGTCATGGATCACTGCAGCTTCGACCTCCTGGGTTCAGGTGATTCTCCCACCTCAGCCTCCTGAGTAGCTGGAAGTATAATAACATATCTTCATGCCTGGCTATTTTTTTCAAACTCCTGTGCTCAAGTGACCCACCTGCCTCAGCCTCCCAAAGTGCTGGGATTATAGGTGTGAGCCACCAGGTCCAGCCCCATTAACCCTTTCTGAAGGTTCACTAGAATGACTGACAATAGACAGATGAATAGGAGAAAAAGTCATATAAATGTATTTACATATATATGGACATGGAGTCCTGCAAATATGATACTCAAACCAAGGCCAGATGGTTGAGGCTTAAATCCCCTCTTCCATCTTAGAGTGAAATGGGGGTCTGTCAGTAATTTTAGGGGTAGTAAATAATTTTCAGATAAAATGAATAAGCCCAAAGAAGAATGGCCAGAAACAAAGTTCTTCTGCACCCTGGGGCAGGTGGTGGGAAGGTGAGGGGTAGACTTCACTGTGAAGAAAGTTTGTGTTTTCATGCAAATAAAGACTCCCAGATAATCAGAATTGCCCTTAGAAGAATAGATGAAAAGTCTGTTTGCAGTTGCTGACAGTTTTTAATTTATTTTCTGTAGTAGTTCATCTTTCCTACTTATTTCATGAGATTCCTATGATGGGGGTCTCCAGACAATTACATTTATTTTACAAACAAGGCGTGTTCGTCAGATAAAAAAAAAAATCCAGGCTGGGCATGGTAGCTTATGCCTGTAATCTAGCACTTTGGAAGGCCGAGAAGGGAGGATCACTTGTGCCTCGGAGTTTGAGACCATCCTGGGCAACATAGTGAGATCCTGTCTCTACAAAAAAAAAAAAAAGCCAGTCATGGTAGCATGCACCTGTAGTTCCAGGTACTTAAGAGGCTGATGCAGGAGGATCACTTGAGCCTGGTAGGTCAAGGCTGCCATGAGCTGTGATTACACCATTGCAGTCCAGCCTGAGTGGCAGAGGAAGACCTTGTCTCAAAAAAAAATTATATAAATTATATATGTGTATGTGGAGATATATATATGTGTGTGTATATATATGTATGTATGTGTATATATATACATATATACACATACATACATACACACAGACACACACATATATATATATATATCCAGAGATATATATATCCAGAGAGCATTCCTTCCTGCTCTTGGGTGGGAAAGAAAAAATAAAAGTTTAGAAAGTTTTTGTTTCTGAGGCAGCATTTATGGCCTTCTGATTTCTTTTAATTCAAAGCATTCAGCATGCCAACACTCTCAGGTGCTGTTCTCTGCACCCTAAAACTGCATTAACAAAATTATAGGACCATGGAATTGAAAGGGACCTCCAAATTCACCAAGTTCAACTCTTTATTGTTATTGAATCAGCATTGCAAATCCTTGCAATATTGAAGTCTGTTTGTTCAGCAATTGAAAAGTTGCCCAACTTAGTTAAATGTCCAAACTCAAGTTTGTTTTACACAAATATAAAGATAGATAGTAAAGAAGGAAGAAAAGAAAGAAGGAAATAAGGAAAAATGGCTGGTCTAATTTTTGGAGGTTTTTACTATCTATAAAATTCTTTCTTTGCTTTTTAAATGTATATAGAAAATCATAAATTTTATGGAAAACTGAGAGTCACATCTGGCAAGCTATTTTTGATTTACTGAGCTAGGAATAGCTGCAAAAACACTTCCTCTTACAGACTTGCATAATCAATCATTTGTTGCTTTCCCTTGCACATCAGCATTAGTTTTACATTACTAAGCTTTTCTTTCATCTTCCAGAATTAAAAGAGGTCACAAAGCAATTTAGTTCAATTTTAAATTTAATAAAATTAACAATATATTTATTGAGTGATAGTTCTTTGCTTGCCCTTTTCCAGATATAGTGTCAAAGACAAAGTCTTTAACCATCACAAGCTTCTACAGGTTTCTAATTTTATGAAAATTCTATTCTCCCCTCCAAAAAAGCAAGAAATGGAAGAGCACCAAAAATAGATATTCTAGAATTTGGGCTGAAAGAAGATGCTTATAAGAATTCAGAATTGGGAGCAAGTACTCAATAATAGTAGAAAGAGCTAGAGAAGGCTTTATGGAAGATGAACAGGTGAGCTGACTTAAAATTTGATAACCTTTGAATAATTCTTCACCATTTCTCAGGCAAAGAAAGATTTGAAGGTTGGCATGAACATGATTGTGTAGAGATCAGTGAAGGGGTAGCTTATACCTCACAGAAGCCTTGAATACCAAGTCCTTATATGCTATATCTACTCAGCAAGAATGTACGCCCTTTGATCATAAAGCCTAGAAAGATAAAAATTGTATAATGAAAAGATCATGAATTTTGCAGTCAGAACAATTTCATTCTCAATCTTGTCTTTGCAATAACCAGTGATACTATCTAAAAATTTACTTGTGTTCTCTGAGATTGGGTTTCTTTATTTATAACATTAGGAATTATCAACCCTTTCTCAGAGGGCTACAGTAAAGAGTTAAAGAGACTAATATTGTGTCCAACAAATAATAAGAGTCAAAATATGAAATTTCTTGGTGCCATGTATAACTTCTTCACATAATAAGAGCTTAATTTGTGTGGTATGGCTGACAGCATGATGATACTATGGGTATGTGACATCATTATATTTTTTCAAGCATGTTAGGTATATAAAACATGAGAATGAATTAGACTGCACAAAGGGAATATGTAGACAGAAAAATATATTAAGGATAGAAACACAGGAGCAAACATAATTGCAGAGTGAAAAGAGTTAGAGAATCCTAGCAAGACAGAGAACACATGGCCAGTGTATACCACTGACCATGTGTGAGAACAAACAGTAGAGTGTAGGAATGTTGATGGCTAGTGAGTGAAAAATGTCAATAAATAAAGAGTGTTCAATAGAGTGTAATGTGTCAGGGAAACCTGCAATTATTGAAACATTTTTATTGGATGGAGGCCATTGTTGAGCTTTACAAGAGCAGCTTCACCTGCAAGTTTCAGTGGAGAAATCAGACTGCAGGAGACAGGAACTAGAGCTGAGGAAGTGGAGGCAGTGAATTCCCACTGCTCTTCAAGATATTTTAACTAAAATTGAAGAGAGAGAAAGCAAGGTAATTAGAAAAAAAAAATGCTGTGTTAAAGTTGGAAGAAAGCCAGGAGGAAACAGAGGTGTAGATCAAAACAGGTCTCCGTGGTGTGGGCTGGGAATAAATGTTTAGAGGGAATGAAGTGAAAAAATGAATGGGGATATTTACGATCTGCAATAAATGAAGCAGTAGGAAGTGCATCTTCACCACCAATCACAGGAAACATGACAGCATTTTCTTAGATTAATCACTCTAAGGGAGGGATGTAGGAAGCAGAATAGGGAGAAAAAGAGTGCTGCAGCTTGTTTTCTTTGCTGGAATAAATATCAGCAAAAATAATGTATTATAAATCGATATTAGTTATGAATAAAAACTCTATTAAATATCATTTAGTGCCTGCCTAGTTTCCACAGCAAAAAAAAATCAAGAAATAGGGAGAAGGGGAAACAGTTAAGCTTTAAATGGACACACTAAATAAAAAAAAAGTTTTCAATATATATTTTCTTCTCTACTCATCTCAGGTTATAAAACGAACAACCTTGTCATCCAGGGAAGAACTATGATAGTGTTGCTTTGAGAAAAATAAAAGTTCATGTACAATGCCCATCAAGTGATATATTATCTGAGAGAAGTTAGAAAAAGCCATGAAACATACGAGAGAGTATTCTGTCATCTAAGTACTAAACCATACACACACAAACACCCCCGAAATGAAATAAGACCAAAGTAAAATAGGCAACATATTTGTAATTTCTGTTACATAAAATGTGAAACAAAATTTCTCATTATTCATTTCTGTTAAATATCTAACTTCCTCTTTTTCATGAGCAACTTTGACATTGGACCTCAGAAAACATTCCACTTTGTCTTATTACAGTCTGTTTACCCATTTGCTAACTTTTATTCAAATTTATTCACTTCCTGACTTATCGTGTTTTGCATTATGTTGATGTTCACTTGGAAATAGTTGTTTTCCTAGATTCTAATGATGTCTATGCCAGCAGCTGCAAGCTGAGAACACAGCGAATGTGTATGCACAGTACAAAATTCTTCCAATTAGGACTGCTGCTTAATTGGCAAGATTGCTGTCAAGTAGCATGACCACTGCATTACATTTGAATCTGAATTTCGTGTAAATGTAGATATTTAGGAGCTTATTAGAGAATTTGCATGGAAATTGAAGGAGAAAATAGTTCATGTGTTTGGGGGAAACAAATCTAACTCGATTTTAACATTAGTATTTCCTTAAACTACTTAAGCAGTATAGCAAACTAGTTACATGTGTCAGCTCTGGAGTTAGATGTTGCTAAGAATTCTAGCTACAACTCTTGGTGATCTCAGACAAAGTTTTTAACCCATCTGAGCCTCAGTTGTTATACATGTAAAATGGAGATAATTAAAGCCTCTATATCTTATGATTGTTTAAACTTGAATTAAATCATATATGTCAATCACATGGCATAGTGTCTGTCAGTAAGTTCTCAATGACTTGTAGCTACTATTTAGTCAAAGACATATTACAGAAAGTGTTACAGGTTTCTTAATTCAATGCTATACATTATAGACTCAATAAATAGTATTATTGTTTAAATTCCTTTCTGTTGAATTTTATTTCAATAGATTTTGGACACTGGCTTGAAATAAAAATATTTATTTTTAAATTTACATGCACATATTTTGTGCCTTGCTTCAGAATTCCTCTATTCCCTCAGCAGATGTAACTTCAATTTTCTCTCCTCCCTTCCATACTGACTCCTGTTTGGTCTGTAGGGGCAGAAAAGGTATAATACTTTTCTTCACTCATCATAAAGGTCATGGCTGACACTCCAATAACAGAAGATAGGTTAAGAAGAAAAAAGCAGAAGACATTTATTGAATGAAAGTTTTATGTTGTGTGGGAGTATTCAGAAATGAAGACCCAAAGACTCAGGAAAAACTGTCTATTTTTATGCTTAAATTTGATGAAAAATGGGCAGCCATGTAAAAATGTGACTGGATTAAAAAAGCATTATTTCATGGTAAGAGACTGAGTGAGGAAATATAGCAAGACCTGTCTGTGTTGATTCTTTCTTGGTCTGTCTCTGTGGCATCACTTCTTCCTAGATATAGGGCAGTAGATCTTCTGGACTGAGGATCTTATGTCCTACCACTAGACGAGGAAGGTCAGAGAATTCCTTTATGGCCAGCTCCTACATGGAAAGGTGGGGGAAGGTTACAGTAATATTTCTAGGATTAAGACTTGCCTTGGGATAGAGGTATTCCAGTTTATATGGTTTGCATTGAGGGAAGAGGAGGAGCAAAAGAAAGAAGAGCAGGAGAAGTTTTGAAGGATACCTTGCTTCTGAGGCCCTTCCAATATCCTTCAGTTCAAAGAATGCCCAAGTGTCATAATTTCAGGTATGATTTTTTGAGCCCCAACAGGCCCTCTGTGGATGTGATTGGGCTGATGGTGGTCAGGGCTTTCAAACATAAGAATGTCCACACCCTTTTCTCATACAGTGGAAAATGAGTTTTTCTCATTAATGATGAAGAACGATCAGCTGCCACAAAATGTTCGGATTCTACTTTATCAGACTAATCAAGCAGTTAGTGCCTAAACTGATACTTCTTCCCTTACTAGAAGTTCAGATTAGCTAATCACCTCGTAAACAATTGTCAGACTTTATACCAGTCATCATCTTTCTCATCTAGCTGTTCAGACTTGGTCAACAGTGGGGACCATGTTATCCCTTGGAATTTATAGTGACTGTGTTACCCCTTGAAATTTCTAGTGACCACGGACTCAATACTTAGACATTTACCATCTTAGCTATCTTCCATATCTGTCTCTAAGAACCCCCCAGCCCCACTGCCATCACCACTATCACACACTGCTATCACCCTCACCAGGGCAAGAGATAAAATGCAGAAATTGAAGTTCCCTAAAATGAAGATTTGCTTATCCATAAATGGTATAAAAATTTACATTGTTTTCAGATACAGATTCTATCTAAGCCATATAGTAAGACCAGACACCACAAGTTAATTCAAAATTTCTCAGGGAGTGTACAAGAAAATTTCTTTCATATCTCATCAGCCTGGGACCATTCCCTCCACCAAAACTGGTGCTGAGTTTTAAAGAAATTAGGAAGACTGAAATATCATCTTCTATATCCACCGAAGAACCTACTTGCTACCTGATTCTAATAAAAAGAGTAGATGTTCATCATGTCACTTAATTCCAAGATCTTTCTGTTTTCCTTAGGTATTTACTGAGCCTATCTTATCTAAAAATAGGAAGAGATTTCGATAAAGATAAAAACTGTATGTTAATAAAAAGAAAGGAGATAGCAAGCAGATCCCAAAGATCCAAGTGTAACCAACCAATAGGTTATCTTTGCCTGCTGCCTAGAGAGAACTGATTTATCAAGACAGGGAATTGCAATGAAGAATTTAATTGACTCAGAGCCAGCTGTATGGGAGACTGGAGTTCTATTATTACTCAAATCAGCCCCCCTGGATGAGGACTGGGATTTTAAATAATAATTTGGTGAACAGAGGTTCAGGAAGTAGGGACTGTTGATTTGTTGGGTGAGAGATTAAATTATAGAGAATCAAAACTTTCCTCTTCCACGGAGTCAGTTCCTGGGTGGGGGGTCACAAGACCAGATGAGTCAGTTTATTGATCTGGGTGGTGCCAGCTGATCCATCAAATGCAGGGTATGAAAACCATCTCAAGCACCAATCTTAGATTTTACAATAGTGATGTTATCCATAGAAGGAATTGGGGAGATTTTAGAATCTTGTGACCTTGATCTAGCTGCATGGCTCCTAAACCGTAATTTCGAATCTTGTGGCTAATTTGTTAGTCCTGCAAAGGCAATCTAGTCTCCAGGCAAGGAGAGGGTTTGTTTTGGGAAAAGACTGTTATCATCTTTGTTTCAAAGTTAAACTATTAACTAAGTTCCTCCCAACGTTATTTCAGCCTATGCCCAGGAATGGACAAGGACAGCTTGGAAGTTAGAAGCAAGATGGCATTGGTTGGGTTAGCTTAGTTTCACAAGTGCCTCTTAAATACTCAGGGGATAGGGTTTGCTGAATGGAAGGGCTGTTGAGGGATAATTGCATTTTTGTTTTTTTTTTGGGTTTTTTTTTTTTTGTCAACTAGTGTTTACCAAGCCTCTCTGTACTTAGCTTCAGAAATCTAAGAACATTATTTTCTCTATAAAACTCAATGCCAGAGAAGAATTGAGGGAAAAGATTGGGTGGAAAAGACAAATATTGGACTTGGATTCTAAAAACACTGCAGGTGGTGGCTATGGTTATGAGATTGATATATAGATACAATTATAGATAGATGGCAGACAGATAATAGATAGATAATAGGTAATTATGTCTAACATTTGAAACCTTTTCCTTTGTGTGTGATTTTAAATGGATTATGTTAATTTTCAAAACATATATTTGCATTTCAGTGTAATTCCTATCATTTTCCCAGGGAAAAATAACATTAAAGGAAATTTAAAATATTTTACCTTAAAATATACTTTTTGCCATATTTTCAGATGGCTACTCAGAGAGGCTACAGACAAGAATAGTCCTGTAAAGTTGTCTTACATGGAGGAGAGTTGCATCTGTAGAGAAAATATGCACGAATGAAATAAACAGGCTGGGCGCGGTGGCTCACGCCTGTAATCCCAGCACCTTGGGCGGCTGAGGCGGGCGGATCACAAGGTCCGGAGATCAAGACCATCCTGGCTAACACCGTGAAAACCCGTCTCTACTGAAAATACAAAAAATTAGCCGGGCGTGGTGGCGGGCGCCTGTAGTCCCAGCTACTTGGGAGGCTGGGGCAGGAGAACGGCATGAACCCGGGAGGCGGAGCTTGCGGTGAGCCGAGATTGCGCCACTGCACTCCAGCCTGGGTGACAGAGCGAGACTCTGTCAAAAAAATAAAATAAAATAAAATAAATAAATAAACAGCCAGGCTTTCTCTGAGGCTCTCCCCTCTTGTCCAAATCTAGGAAAGACTAAAAGAGGGTTTGACATCTTTAAAGTTCTGACAGAGAAACGTTTGCCACAGGATAGGGTTTCTTTCTGAAAGCGGCTACCTGTGAAATTTCATCTGCATAAAAAGAGCACCTTTGCTCCATGCTTTTCTTCCTCTTCTCTACTTCTACTAACCTTTTGTCAATTGAAGAATTGCAAGGTTCATAAATTTGGAAAGGAGAGCATTATTTTTCATAAAGCATTGAAGTCTGTAAGGTGGCCACTCTGACAGGCTGGGAGGCGTACATAGCCTTTGGCGCTGTTGAAAGCAAGCACTTAAGGAATGGTTGAAGGAAACAGAAATTTATGCTTAGACAAGCAGGGTAGGTGGCTGAAGGTATGTATTTAATAAGCCATAGGAGTCATGAAAATTTACTAAAGGCGAAACATGTGTATGCACAATGGAGCTTCATGCCCCTTCATGGGTGGCATGTTCAAAAAATGGTGGTGTTAGCATGATTCGAGGTTGGAGTCTCTAATATCAAAAGGTGGAACAAAGGACATGAAAACCCTTACTGCGCATCCTCCATAGACTGGCCAGAACCACTCCCAGGTTGATGGTCTGTTATCAGGAAGGAATGTTGGTCAGCTGCTATGTCTGGACAACAAACCAGAGGAGGAGTCCAGTTGTGGCCCCAGATGATTGGCTCAAGGCAACGAAGGAATGAGTCATCTGTTACTTGTTTCCAGAGCTGGTTTCTTCTGTTTACTCCTTAAGAAAGAAATTTGGTTAAAGGTTAATAAGGGGCATATTGAGGCATGTCAAACCTCTCATCCCATCATGGCCAGGGACTCAGTTTCGAAAGTTTTTCTGGGATCCCCTTGAACAAGTGAGGGGTCCATTCAGTTGTCTGGAGAGGCTTAGTTTTTGATTTTTATTTCTCACTGTCTTGTCCCGATAACCTCTTTTGCCATGCTCCAAACCCTACTATTTACACTAACCTTAAGATGGTGTGAAAGCGTCAACACTCTGGCCCCCTTTTTTTGAGTTTTTATATTTTGTATGACTCCCAGGCACACATGTGCATGTTAATAAACTTGTTTACCTTATGTTCCTTTTAATCTCTCTATTATCAGTTTGTGTTATAAACTCAAGTTATCAAACCTTCAGAGAAAAACTTAAACTTCCCTACAATACTATTGATAAACAAACCTGAAAACCGTTTAGTCAACAATAAACCTGAATGCTTCAAACCTTCAGCAACATTCTTACAACTGTCAGCAGATGACATGATGATTCATGGGTGCAAAATTCAATCTTTTAGAGGATACCCCAGAATTCCATGTGATACTCTAACATGATTCTGAATTTATTATATGTGTAACTAGCATTTGAAATAAATGTTATTCTTAAGGTAATTTTGATGATTTTCATTGTTTCTTAATTTTATCATATAAAATCTTAATACACCTAATATACATAAAAAATAAACCTCATTTGGCTGGGCATGGTGGCTCATGCCTGTAATCCCAGCACTTTGGGAGGCCAAGGCTAGCGGATCATGAGGTCAAGAGATCGAGACCATTCTGGCTAACACAGTGAAACCCTGTCTCTACTAAAAAATACCTACAAAAAATTAGCCAAGTGTGGTGGTGGACACCTGTAGTCCCAGCGACTCGGGAGGCTGAGGCAGGAGAATGGTGTGAACCCGGGAGGCAGAGCTTGCAGTGAGCCGAGATCATGCCACTGCACTCCAGCCTGGGCAACAGAGAAAGACTCTGTCTCCAAAAAAATAATAATAATAAAACATTAAAAAAACGCATTTTCTTGCCACAAAATTGGTTAAGATTTATTCCCCAAATAAAATTCTTTCTTTTGAGCAAAAACTTCAGAGAACTTCTAAAGTTCACCCTGTTAGATAGCTACCACAAACCCATGTTTTCCCTTCTTTCTAAAAGTGTCTAGATTTTATTCTGTTATTTGATTTTTTTTCCACATGATTAAGGAGGAAAGGATTCCAGTGAGAAGAACAGACAGTGGATCATGATGAGCCTAGGACAGTTACAGAGATTCCACTCTATTTTGCAGTGTAGTAGAGGAAAAACTAATTTTCCCTCTGCCTTTCACAGTTCCTTGGTAGGACTGACCCTTGTAGCAATACATAAATTAACAAGAGAAAAACAAACAGAAGCTTAATAAGATGTATGCCTCCTATATAATTGGGAGATACTCAGAGAAATGACTAAATCTCAAAGAAATAGTTCAGGCTGAAATACAATGTTCAACTGAAACAGAAAGAAGTGTGTGAGGAAGCACACTAATGGGAAAGTGATCAGGAGAAGTAAACAAGAGCAAGGTTTGGTGCCTGCTTCATTGATAGAAGTCTCTAATGGTTTAGAGTCATCCTTTTCTTCCTGGTACAGAAACCTGAGACACCCTTACAAATTTTTTTTTAATAGATGTACATTTTCCTAATGAGGTAACTTCTACTCTCTTACAGTTTCTCCTATGTCTGCAGTTTCTCAAAATAATCAGCTCGAAATGATCTTTATGCCAAAGTGACATATTTTGGGGTGGCATATTTGGGTTTCCTACAGCCCTACATTGGGTGGCGTATTTTTAGTCTCCTACAGCAGTAATTGTTTAAGGTTGGGTATGTGATTCGGACCAATGAAACATCAGGACAAATCTAAAGGGGGAGTGCTAAGAAGAATCCCTCACTCCTAATAAAGAGTTAAAGAGACAAGTCTGCCTTGTACTTTGGGTATTATTCTATGCAGATGTGACATCTGCAATTGCTGAGAACAACTAAAGTATCACAGTATGTTGTGATACTGTGATTTATAATGGGAAATATATATTTGATTCTTTTACTCCTTCCTGGCCAAAGCTCCTAAACTCCTCGGAATTTCCTAAATTATGGGGGTGATAAATGTAAGAGGAGTGTTTTTTGTTATTCATAAAATGTTTACCTGAGTTTATGTAAATGAGATGAGTTTTGGAAAGCCCTAGATAAACACAGGATGGAGACTGCTCATCGCCAAGGGAACCAACCATGTGACTAGAGGGTTAGAATTTTCCTTCCGACTCCCCAGCCTCTGGGGAATGTAGAGGAGCTACAGATTAATCACCAACAACCAATGATATAGTCAATCATGTCCATGTAATTAAGCCACCATAATAACACAAAAGGACAGGATTCTGAGAACTTCCAGGTTGGTGAATGCACAGAGGTGCTGGGCATGGGGTGCACTCAAAGTGAATGGAAGCTCTCAGCCTCTTCCCACCTACCTTGCCCTATGCATCTCTTCTGTTTGACTGTTTATGAGTTCTATCCTTTTATAATAAACTGGTAATATAAGAAGTAAATGGTTTTCCTGAGATCTATGAGCAGTTCTTACAAATGATCAAACGCAAGGTGGGGGTTGTGTAAACCCCCAGTTTATAGCTAATTGGTTAGAAATACAGGTGACAACCTGGACTTGTGATTGGCATCTGAAATGGGGAGGTGGGGGTGTCAGTATTGTACAATTGAGCCCTTAACCTGTGAAGTCTAAAATAGCTCTCGGTAAATAGTATCAGAATTTAATTGAATTGTGTAACACTGCTTATTGTTTAAAGAGAATTGGAGAATTGTTTGGTGTGGGGAAAACTCCCACACATTTGGTGTCAGAAGTGTTGTGTGTATAAAGAATAAAATAGTTTGTTTTTCCTAAACACCCATACAGGATGATTGACCCCTGATATGCTAGAAGGGGAACCTGCCTAACCTCTACCCATTTCCTCACAAGATAATGCATTTCTGCATTGCTTAAATCAGTTTCAGATGGGCTTTTATCATATCTTAAAAATCCAGTTCTTTGACCTTTATAATTCAATGGAAAGGGGATCCAAATTGCAGACACTCAGGAGATTACATTTAGGTTAGCTGCAGCAGAAAACAAATTGGATGATGGAAGTGAATATTAGCTATAATTAGGATCTCAGAGCACTCTTGGCAAATTTACTAAAGCTAACATTTCTAAGTGTTTGTCATTTTGGTTTTAAGTTAAAAGTTGAGAAGCTTCAGGAATAGCTATATTTTTGTATGGGAATGATAATAAATTATTCATTTATTTCTATCCATTATAAGGTTCATTTTAGCCCAATTCTAGCAGAATAGGTTACATCAAAGATAAAATAAGATTTTTTATCTTTAAATGAAAGATTTGTCATTCAGATAGGATTTAGACAATCAGCTCTAAGCATTTACAAACTTATAGTCTGGTTGGGGGAGATACCAACATTTAACATAGTAATTAACAAAATGCCATCAGATAATAATGATGCAAAGATGTGTCAATGACTACAATGCTATTGTAACCACCCAGCAGGTTCATCTTGTCTGCTTCTCAGATAAAGCCAATTGATCAAAGTCAAGGGAATTGCAATACAGAGAGTATCTAATCCATATAGAGACGGCTAAACAGGAGACCAGAGTTATTCCTACTTAAATCACCCTCCCTGAAAATTCAGAGGCTAGAGTTTTTTAAAGATAACTAGTTGGTGGACAGCAGGCTAGGGAATGGAGTGTGCTGATTGGTCAGGTCTGAGATGAAATCATAGAGGGTTGAAGCGGGTCTTCTTGCTGTCTTGCTTCTTGCTGTTCCTCGGTGGGATCGCAGAACTAGTTGAGCCAGATTATCAGAATACGGGGTCTTAAAAATATCCCAAACACCAATTTTAGGTTTTGTAATAGTAATATTACCCATAGAGCAATTGAGGAGGTTGGGAATCTTGAGGCATCTAGCTGTATGACTCCTAAACCATGATTTCTAATCTGGTTGCTAATTTGTTAGTTTTACAAAGGTGGTCTTGTTCCCATGCCAGGAAAGAGTTTGTTTCAGGAAAGGCAGTTATCTTGTTTGTTTCAAAGTTAAACTGTAAAGTAAACTCCTCGTAGAGTTAGCTTGGCCTATGCCCGGGAATGAACATGGGCAGTTTGGAGATTAAAGGCTAGATGGAGTTGGTTTTGTCAGATCTCTTTCACTGTTAACATTTTCTCACTGTTATAATTTTTGCAAAGGCAGTTTCACTATGGGAACACAGGGGTTTCAATGAAAGATGCAGATGTCTCTGAAATTATCCTGTAGGGGGTGGATATTAGATTACAGTGAAAACGTGATTATAAGTTATAATAAATGATATGAAGGTGAAAAATTCATAACACTGTGATGCGAAATATCACATGCTGAGGGAATGCTCCTTGCCAGTTTCTGCAAATGAAATCAATATTCTACCGGTTGATAGACTGGGAATCATGTCTCTCTTTTTAAAGTTTTCTGCAGTATGTCTACTGAGTTATGTCAGTTATTCCACCATGTTCTTTCATGCCTTCATCTTTTTTCCCACTGTGCTACAGAAAGCTTCCTAGTGAGACTTGCCACTTTCAGTCTGCATGGATTTCTGTTCTACCTCTGGTCACCCTCAATACGATATTTTCAAAATACTGATTTTTAACATATTTCTTTCCTTCCCAAAATTTTCTGTGAATCTCTACTACCTGAAGAGAAGGATAGGAGGAAAAACATTATTCTATTATAAGATCTTACAGTCTGGTAGGAAAGTACAAAAAAATCCACAAACATAAATACTATTAGGGTTCAAAAACAATGCCCCAAAATGAAGTCCTCCAAAGCAGCCTTAGAAGTAAAAGTTTTCTCTCATCTTCTCCTGTCCTCCCATCTCTCAGTCCCATTGACCCCCAAAGCTAGCCCTCCAAGCTAGAATCCCTCTTCCCCAGAGAGAGTTGTAGAAACCAGTACCTCTTTTCCCAAAAGCCAACATAAAACCTAAAAATATAACTTTTCCCCTGCCTTTCTGTGTAAAAACTGGCCATAAAGAAATTATCTGACCTACCTGTTTGACTGCCGGTCATAAAACCCTCAGTCCAGAGAGGGTTCTTCCCCATATATGAAAGTAATGCATGCTCAGAGAAGCTGAAAAGAATCTAAACAGACTCAATTTATTAGTCTATTAACATTAAATCATACTCTTTTTGTCCAGTCATATTTCAACACAACTGTCCATACTTTGTTGAATATAATTATAAAAGTGGGCAATTTTCCCTGTATCTTTGGGTCTTCATCCTGAAGGCTTTCATGTATACACATTAAATAAATTTATGTGCCTTTTCTCTTATTAATCTGTCTTTTTCAATTTCATTTTCAGAGAATCAGAATCTTCAGAGGGCCAAGAGGAAAGTTCTCCCTTGGTTTCTACAGTACAATAAATTATTAAAAAATCTTTCCTTTTGGGATTGTTTGTTTTTGAGACAGGGTCTTACTCTGTCGCCCAGGCTCCCACCTTAGCCTCCCAAGTAGCTGGGACTACAAGTAAAACCTACCACACCTGGGTATTTTTTTGTGTAAATGGGGTTTCCTCATGTTGCCTACTCTGTTGTTGAACTCCTGGACTAAAGCAATCCTCCCGCCTTGGTCTCCCAAAGCGCTGGGATTACAGACATAAGCCACCACACCTGGCCTTTTTAAAGGATCTTTGATAGAAGTTTATTTCTAGTAGAGACTAGCTTTGTGACTGACCAATACAAACTCTTCATCTAGACAGTGCTACCCATTAGCCCTCTTCACTCAAAAAATTTTGTATTTTTTAATCGCACCTTTTAAACAGGACAGTCTTCCTGTATGGAAAATTTACTCTATCCAATTTGTTTATTAACCTAAAATATTCTTCAAAGACTATTTAGAGTTTAGCTTTCTTCTAATTTCATAGCCTCTTATAACATTCTTAAAATGGATTCAACATGGCACTCTAATTCTATTCCCTGTGCTAGAGAGAATTGTACTTTATATAGAAAAGTTTGTTGGCCCAGCGCGGTGGCTCACGCCTATAATCCCAGCACTTTGGGAGGCCGAGGCGGGCGGATTACTAGGTCAGGAGATCGAGACCATCCTGGCTAACATGGTGAAACCCCGTCTCTACTAAAAATACAAAAACAAAATTAGCCAGACGTGGTGGTGGGCGCCTATAGTCCCAGCTACTTGGGAGGCTGAGGCAGGAGAATGGCATGAACCCGGGAGGCAGAGCTTGCAGTGAGCCGAGATCGCGCCACTGCACTCCAGCCTGGGTGTCAGGGAGAGACTCCGTCTCAAAAAAAAAAAAAAAAAAAAAAAAAAAAAGAACAGTTTGTTGTATTTATAAGTGTTTGAATTGTCAGCAAAGACTTTCTTAAATGGAAGTAAAATTTACTTCTATCAGTTTAAGTTAAATCTAATAAATGCACATTAAATAAAATAATTGTTTCTTGCAATAAACAATCATCTAAATATCTCAAAACTTTATGACTCGTCTGTATTTTCTCTCTTCTAGGCCAGCTATCAATAATGGATTTATTTGTTTCTTAAATGGCATTCATTTAGAAACTTCACTATTTTATTTTTCTTACTACAGGATTTTGTTATAGGATTGTTAATACTTCTCCTAAAATAAAAATAATGCCAGGACTTCTGCTTTGGCTGTGGAAGATGAGCTTGTATTGGCAGATTGTTTCTAAAGACGACAACTAGAAAAACTGAATAAAATATTTTCTATATCACTGTTGCAAGAGTGTTGTGATCTACAAAGGCAAAGGACATATTGAAAAGTATCACAGCTCACGCCTGTAATCCCAGCACTTTGGGAGGCCGAGGCGGGCGGATCACGAGGTCAGGAGATCCAGACCATCCTGGCTAACGCGGTGAAATCCCGTCTCTACTAAAAATATAAAACAATTAGCTGGGCGTGGTGGCGGGCGCCTGTAGTCCCAGCTACTCCAGAGGCCATGGTGTGAACCTGGGAGGCGGAGCTTGCAGTGAGCCGAGATCGCGCCCCTGCACTCCAGCCTGGGCGACAGAGCAAGACTCCATCTCAAAAAAAAAAAAAGAAAAAAAAGAAAAGTATCACAAAGAGAAAAGTACATAAAGAGGTGAGCCAAAACTTCATCAAGGAAATTGTCACTGCTGAGTCTTAGCCAAGAAGCCCAAAGCTGAGGAGAAAATAAAGTAGGAGGGTTTCTAAGAAACCTAGAAGTTGTGCAGAGCATTAGGCAGTTGCATGGTGCTGAGGAGAAAAAGTGCAGTTCAAACTAGCCAAGGTCTTAGGAAAACCCCAGTCTTTCCACTGGAACCCAAGAAGGTCTATAAACAGCAGAAAACACAAAATTTAAAAAAGACCAACTTTCACAAAAACTGAAATGAATAACCTCAATAGAAGTATGTATTAATGTAATCTGGCCCTTCCTTGACTTTCAAAAAAATAAAGTAAAATAAAAATATAAATATGCTTTAAATAAATATAACATCAATGGGACTAAAATAACAGTAAAATAACTCTGTATTTTTATACCAAATGGCTGGAATTTAATTTTAAAAAATTACCAAGCCTACTAGAAGACCAAATGACTGAAAATATTTGAGAGAAAAGCTATAAAATATAAATTAACATGCAGAGTGTATTAAGCAATTCTTGCATTGCTGCCAAGAAATGCCAGAGACTGGGTAATTTATAAGAAAAGAGCTTTAAAGTGGCTCATGGTTTTGCAGGCTGTACCAGAAGCATACTACCAGCATCTGCTTCTGGGGAGGCCTCAGGAAGCTTACAGTCATTGAGAAAGGCTAAAGGGGACCAGGAATTTCCCATGGCAGAGCAGAGGCAAGAGAGATGGGGGTGGGCCAGGATGCCACACTTTACAACAACCAGATCTCCCAAGAATGAACTCACTCATCACCAAGCGGATGGACTAAGCCATTCATGAGAAATAAACCCCCATAATCCAAACACCTCCCACCAGGCCTCAACTCTAACACTGGAAATTATATTTCCACATGAGATTTGGAGAGAACTCACATCCAAACAATATCACAGGGGAATGAAAGATATTTCTGTATCTAGGAACAGATATTTAACAAATTTTGATAAATTCATTCAAGGAAATGCATAACAGAATGAAGAATTTAAACTCAGAAATGGAATCTACTTAAATATACTCAATTCAAAATTATAGAACTATAAAATTCAATAACTGAAATTGATGTTTCTGTAGATAGTTTTAACAGAACAACAAACACAAGATGAGGTAATTAAGTTGGCAAATAACAGAAAATATCTAGACTTAAGGCTAGAGGTTGGGGGAAGATAGATAATATAGAAAAGAGTGTAAAAAATATGAGATTTAGGAAAAGTCTCACATAGATTTAATTGAAGTCCCACAAGCAAAGGGCAGGAGAATGAAATTGAAGTATCATTTTCAAGTGTTATTAAGATTCTACAAATTCAAAGGAGAATAAATAGAAAGAAAATCACACCTATACACATCTTCAACCTTCTGAAAACCAAAGACAAAGAGAAAATCTGAAAAGTGTCTGGAACAAATGGACATGTGATCTTCAAAGGAGAAACAATGAGAATGAAACTTATTTCTCAATGAAATGATAGAATCCAGAAGATGATTGAATGGCATCATTAAAAAACTGAAAACAGCAACAATATAAACCCTTATCAATCTAGACTTGTCTGCCCAGTGAACATACCCAAAATAGAAATTAAAAAGTAAAGGTTTCCTTGTTCACATTTTAAAAACTGGGAAAATTTACCACCAATTGACCGAAACTACAAAAATACTCAAGGTAATACTCTGGGCAGAAGAAAAATAATCCCAAATGGAAGGATAGAAACACAAAAAGAAATATAATACAAAAGCAATGGTAACGTGGGTAAATTTAAAGGATAAATGACTATAAAGACAATGTTCTATATAGAAAATTTAAGTACAAAGTAAAAATGACACAAAACGCATAAGGTGAAATGGCACTAAAATATTGTAACATTACTGAATTGTCTGAGAAAAAGTAAAATTACCGAATTACATTAGTCTAAAATATATTTTAATTGCAAGAAGGTCTGCTAAATGAAAGCCGAAAGTATTTAAAATTAGCAAATGAATGTGGAAATGGCATGCAACAAAATATTTAATTAGTCACAATATGATAATAAGTAAAAAGAAACTAGAGTGAAGGACACTTCTGGAATGGTGAAGTGAAGACTTCTGTTAAACTCGTCCTCTGTAAAAGCAAGGAAAACATTTGGCAAATATTGCTAGAAATAACATTTTCAGAACCATAGAAATTAACCAAAGGCTGGCTGCCCTCTGAAGATCATTTATTCAGAAACAAAACTGAACTAAACAGAACAAAAAACTGTGCTAAACCTAAGTGAAAAGAGGATTGGTAGTATTTTATTTATTTTTCTTTTTGAGGCAGGGTCTCCATCTGTCACCTTGATTGTAGTGTAGTGGTGTGACCATGGTTCACTGCAACCTCAACCTCCCAGGCTCAAGCAATCCCACCAACTCAGCCTCTCAAGTAGCTGGGACCATAGGCACATGCCACCATGCCTAGGTCTTTTTGTTGTTGATGTTGTTGGGATGGGGTCTCACTATGTTGCCTGGGCTGGTCTCAAGCTCCTGGGTTCAAGTGACCCTTTCACCTCGGCATCCCAAAATGCTGGGATTACAGGAATGAGCCACCATGCCTGGCCTTGGTAGTATTATTAATTTGATGTACTCCTATCTTCCTCTCCCAGGCCTGTGGTAACTTGGAAAGACAGCAGACTAACAATTGCAGTAGTTGTGAACAACTGCAGCCTTGCAGCTAAAGGAAGGAATAGTCTGCATGAGGAGGTCTTCAGAAAGTCCCATCCTAGAGCGTTGTCAGTATTTCATACCAATTTCTGGTCCCTGAGAAAGGCCCATTCACAGGGTGTTGTTTTTATCTGGCCTGACTCAGTTTGTTCCACCAAAAAAAAAAAAGCCCTATCACCAGGCATGTATTGAAAAAAATCAGCAGCAATTATGTAACATTGCAGCTGACTGAGACTATGATACCAGTCGAAGCAATAAGAGAGCCCCTAAAAGGAAGATTTGAGGAACGTGGTAACCATGGGGGCTTTGCAAAGTTCTGACATATTTCTGGGGACTTAGCAGATTGTGCACATGTGCAGGGCTTTGTGCAGGCCCGGAAAAATCCAAAATGCACTCCAGCCTCTCTCCATTGTCTGACCTGGAAATCCTATGCAAGTGAGAGAAAAGGCCAAGGCAGAGTTTTAAACTGTCTGAGTGTTAATACTGTGTTCTCAGACAATTTCAAGCTGACTGACAAAGGACAGAAGGAAGGCCCGCTGGTTCAAGACATTCAAGAAATCTCTGACCAATCATTAGTTGACCACTAAGCTAACCGAACATAATTAATTCTAATGTTACAGAATTAGCCCAGAAAATTCACCAAACAAACAGAAAACAAAATGAGGAGACAATCTCATTTCTAATTTCAAGAGTTGCCACATTAACTTATCTAAAATTTCCAGGTTTTAGCAAAATTGTAAGGCACGTGAAGAGGAAAGTATAGTCCCTAATAGGGGAATGAAAGAGTTCATAAAAACTGTTCCTGAGGGAACTCAGCTCCTATACTTATTGGATAAATATTTTAAATCTGTTATTATGAATACAGTCAAAGAACAAAAATAATCTATATATGAAGAATTAAGGTAATTGTATGTCTACATGAAAAGAATAAAGTTGGACTTCAACCTCAAACCATATACAAGAATCAACTCAAAATGGATAATACGTCTAAATGTAGCCATTAAAATTACAAAACTCTTAGAAGAACACAGGATTTCATCTTCATGACCTTATGTTAGTTAGTGGTTTCCTAGCTATAATTTAAAAACTCAGGAAGAAATAGATAAATGTAAGTTTATCAAATTTAAAACATTTTGCAGCTGGGTGTGGTGGCTCACGCCTGTAATCCCAGCACTTTGGGAGGCTGAGGCAGGTGGATCATGAGGTCAGGAGATCAAGACCATCCTGGCTAATATGGTGAAACCCCGTCTCTACTAAAAATACAAAAAAAAAAAAAATTAGCCAGGTGTAGTGGCGGGTACCTGTAGTCCCAGCTACTTGGGAGGCTGAGGCAGGAGAATGGCATGAACCTGAGAGGCGGAGCCTGCAGTGAGCCGAGACTGTGCCACTGCACTCCAGCCTGGGTGACAGAGCAAGACTCCGTCTCAAAAAAAAAAAAAAATTTGCTGCTAATAATAGCAACAAAAAATTCAAAAGACAACCCACAGAATAGGAGAAAATATTTGCAGATATATATCTTATAAGTGGCTTTTATCTAGAATATATAAAAACTGTCTTAATAATAAAATAAAAATTCAATTTTTTAATAGGCACAGTGTCAGAATGTATATTTCTTCAAATATAAATGACCAATAAACACAAGAAATATTACACAGATTGTTAGTCATTAGGAAATGCAAATCAACATGGTTTTATATTATTTTGTACACAGTAGGATGGCTATAATTTGAAAAACACAATGACAATCATTGGTGCAAATGTGGCAAAATTGAAATGTTTATATGTATATTGCTGGTGCAAAGTTAAAATAGCGCAGACACTTTGGAAAACAGTTTGGTAGTTCTTCAACATACTAAATATAGAGTTATCATATGTTTGGGCAATTTCACTCCTGGATAAATACCCAAAAGAAATAAAAACATACATTCATACAAAATTTATACATGAGTGTTTATAGCATCATTGTTCACAATAGCTAAAAGTAGAAAGGATTGGCCGGGCGCAGTGGCTCACGCCTGTAATCCCAGCACTTTGGGAGGCCGAGGCGGGCGGATCACGAGGTCAGGAGATCGAGACCATCCTGGCTAACACGGTGAAACCCCGTCTCTACTAAAAAAAATACAAAAAATTAGCTGGGCGTGGTGGCAGGTGCCTGTAGTCCCAGCTACTTGGGAGGCTGAGGCAGGAGAATGGCGTGAACCGGGGAGGCAGAGCTTGCAGTGAGCCGAGATCATGCCACTGCACTCCAGCCTGGGCGACTGAGCAAAACTCCGTCTCAAAAAAAAAAAAATAAATAAAAGTAGAAAGGACCCAAATATCCATTAACTGATGAACAGATAAATAAAATGTTATATAGCTACGCAATGGAGTATTATTCAGGTATATAATTAAATGAAATACTGTTACATGCTACAACATGGATGAAACTTGAAAGACATACTACTGGAAAGAAGGTAGTCACAAAAGACCACATATTGTTTGATTCCATTTAAAGACAATCTAATAGGCAATAGAGACAAAAAAATACATTAGTGGCTGCCTAGGTTTGGGTAAGTAGAGAGGTAAGATGACTGCTAATGGGTACAGGCTTCTTTTTGGGGTAATAAAAAATGTTCTACAATTAGATTGTGCTGATAATTACACAGCTCTGAGACTACCCTACTTAATTATACGTGCTAAATAGGTGAACCTTATAGCAATGTTATTAAATTATCTTTCAATAAAACTGTTCAAATCAAAAGAGGAATGTCAATGAGTGAAACAAACAACACAAATAATAAGAAGAGATATTTAAATCAAAATATATTAATAATTATATTAACTACGAATTGACTAAACAACCCACTTAATACTCAAATATTGTCAAACTGAAAAACGAAGATGAGAAATAACTTTCAATATAAGAATAGAAAAACATTGAAATGTAAAAGTAGAAAAAGATATAACTTGCAAACAAATTTGAAGAAAGTCACAGCAGGTATACTAATATCAATATAAACATAATTTAAGACAAGAAGCATGACTTGGCTAAAGAGGAACATTGTATTAAAATTTCAATGTAAAGAAGGATATAGCATTTCTGATTGTGCACGATATTGTTAGCCTCAAAATAGATGAAGTACTGAACGGAGATGTAGCTAAGTTACAACCACCATTAGAGATTTTAACCTGAAGTTCACATCACAAGTAGATTTAAAAATCAGGAAAAATATAGAAGATTTGAATAATGTGATTGAGCAATGTAACATAATTGACATGTGTAAAATACACACATATCAACTCCAGAAAACAGTTTTTGTCAAGTGCACATGGAAGATTTATAAAAAATGTATGCTGCTGGCTGGGCGTGGTGGCTCACGCCTGTAATCCCAGCACTTTGGGAGGCCGAGGCAGGCACATCACCTGAGGTCAGTACTTCAAGACCAGCCTGGCCAACTTGGCGAAACTCCGTCTCTACTGAAAGTGCAAAAATTAGCCAGGCATGGTGGCAGGCGCCTGTAATCTCAGCTACTCAGGAGGCTGAGGCAGGAGAATCGTTTGAGTCCAGGAGGCGGAGGTTGCACTGAGCCGAGATAGCGCCATTGCACTCCAGCCTGGGTGACAAGAGCAACATTCCATCTCAAAAAAAAAAAAAAATGTATACTGCCCTTAAAATATTTGAATAAAAGAAGTAATGAAGGTGTATGTTTTCCAACCACAAAATATTTATGTTAAAAATTAATAACAGAAAAATTTTAAATATGTTTAAAAGATTAGCACAACTTCTAAATAGCCTATGACTCAAATCAAAACCACAATGAAATATAGAAAGTGTTTTTTATTCACTGATGTGAAAATGTGTCGTTAAAACTTGTAGAATACAGTTTAAACTCTTCACAGATAAATATTTTTTAATCTCAAAATACATGTCAAAAAAACACCTAAAAATCAGTGGTGTAAATATTTACCTTAAGAAGTTAGGGAAAAAGCAGCAAATTTTATGCAAAGTCACTAATGACACATAAATCAAATATAAAAGTGATAATCAAAAAAGCCACAATTTGATTCTTCGAAAGGGTTGATTAAAATGGTAAGCTTCTAACAATATTAATATGTTAAAAAATAAGAAAGAATATATTGTCAATATCAAAAGTGCAAAAGAGAACATCAGTATAGATCTGACAGATTTTGTTTTTTCTTTTAGAGCCTGAGTCTTGCTCTGTCACCCAGGCTGGAGTGCAGCCGTGTGGCCGTATTTCACTGCAGCCTCAAAATCCTGGGTTCAGGAGTTCTTTCTGCCTCACCCTCCCGAATGCTGGGACTACAGGCATTCACCAGCATGCCCAGCTAATTTTTTTTATGTTTTGTAGAGATAGGGTCATGCTTTGTTGCCCAGGCAAGTCTCGAACTCGTGGCCTGAAGCAATGTTCCCACTTCAGCATCCCAAAGTGCTGGGATTACAAGTGTGAGCCACCATGCACAGTCAGAATTTAAAATGTTTATAAGAGGATACTATTTAAAACTTCATCTTGAAAATTTGAAAATTTAAATGAATTCAGAAAATTTGGTAGATAATACAGTTTACCAATATTAACAGGAAGCACTAAAAAAACTGGTCTTAATTTTATTAAAGATGGAAATCTGCAATCTAAACTTTCTCAGAAAGAAAACTTTAGATCCAGATGGCATTAATCATTCATTCTTTTCAACATTTACAGGAAGAATATTATCCAAACTATGGGGAATAAAAAGATAAAATAACCCCCATATCATTTTATGAGCAATGCATACTTGATCAAAATCTGACAAGAACAGTACGAGGAAGAAAAATTACCAGGCAATCTCTCACAAACAGATGTAATCATCCTGAACAAAGGAATAGCAATCCATATTCAGCAAAGTATAAAATGAATAATATTTCATATCCAAAAAATGTATATTCTAGAAACACAATCCATTAGAAAAATGCCTCAATGCAAATCACCACATTCATTGAATGAAGTAGAAAGATATGATTATTTCAATATATGCAGAAAAGCATTTAATAAAATACAATACCCATTTATGATTTTGGCAAAGTAGAAATAGAAGTAAAATTTTCATTCTCAAAATGAACATACAGCAAAAACTACAGTAATTATTATACTTTTAATAATAAAATATGAAAGATTTCAATCAGTGGTCAAGAAATATGACTGTTTATACTCAATATTGTACTGGAGGTCCTGGTCAATGTACTTAGGGGAAAAATGCAGAAATGTGAGCTTAAGAAAAGGAGAAATAAAGTTATCAGTATTTATAATTTTATTATAAACTTAGAAAATTCAGTATAATCTACAAATAAACTAAAATGAATAAGTACATTGAGCAAATTTATTGTATACAAGGATAATATTTAAAAAGTTAAATTCATTTGTATATAGCTGCTATTTATAATGTATATTTTAAATATATGTATATTTAAATGATGACAACTGTGGCACTAGAAATAACAAATATCCAAGAAAAAATATAACAAAAGGTAAACAATAAAATACAAATATATTTTTTAAAAAATCAGTGAACTACCTCCAGTCTACCATGTTTATTGATTGGAACAAACAGCATTACAAAAATAGTCTCCCAAATGTATCTAAATTCAATGCAGTCATAATCAAAATCTAGTAGACATTTGTGTGTGTGCTTATGTTACGTGTGAAAATTGACAAGCTAATCTTAAAATTGTAAAGGTGCATGCTTTATAGCTTATTCAAAGAATAGCTTAAAAATACTTAAAGAAGAAAAAAATTCAGGATGTACAATACTGAATATCAACACTCATTATAAAACTACAATTAAAATAGTATTAATGTTCAAGGCTAGACAAATAAAACATTGGAACAGAATATTGTCCAGAAACAAACACATATAGCAATGCATACATAGAGATACTACGTATATGATAAAGATGTCACTCTAGAACAGTGGTTAAAGGTCAGTCTTTTCAATAAATGGTAATGGGTCAATTTGCTCTCAATATTGAAAGAAAAAATAAATCTTTACCAATACTTCACAAAAACCAGAAGAGTCAATTCTAGGTGAATTCCAGACCTAAATGTAATAGATAGTTTAATCATGTCTATAGGAGATAACATGGAAAAACATATTTATTTTTTCAAGATAGACACATATTTCTTAAGCAGAATGTAGAAAGCACTACCATAAACAAAAATTGATAAATTGGGCAACATTAAAATTAAGAACTTACATTCTTCAAAGACAATTATATTGATTATATCTTGATTCAAATATATTGATTATATTGATTCAAAAACAATTATGAGCTAGGTGCGGTGGCTCACACCTGTAATCCCAGTGCTTTGGAGGCTGAGATGAGATGATCCCTTGAGGCCAGGAGTTCGAGAACAGCCTGGGTAACATAAAACCCATCTCTACAAAATATTGAAAAGTTAGCCGGGCATGGTGGCACATGCCTTTACTTTCAGTACTCAGGAGGATGAGGCAGGAGGATCCCTTGAACCCAGGAGGTCAAGATTGGCTGCAGCGAGCTATCATCATGTCACTGCACTCTAGCCTGGGTGACAGAGTGAGACCCTATCAAAAAATAAATGAATAAGATAAATAAAAGCCACAGATGGTGCAAAGAAATACCATACATATAACAAACTAGGAACACTTGTCAAAATCCATGCAAATAAACAAAAGACAACAATTTATAAAGAGAAATTTCCAAATAGCCAAAGAATAGGGAATGCATACATCTGACGGTTTTCCTAGGACAGTTCTGATTCATGCCTACTGACATTGCTTCCAATTAGTAATTCTTGTCATTCTCAAGGATTTTTAAAATTATTATAATAATACAAATGAATATAATTAATATATTTTATTTTTAAAAATTTACTCTTGAAATCTTAACTCAGGCCACTTATAAGAGTTAACCATTATACTGTGACTAATATCTACCTTATATTGGATGCTGTCCTCATTATATTCAGACTAAAATTTATTTGATTTTAAGTAGCCATTTACTGTCTCAGACTTTGTAATCACCCTGTCATTTTTTTCACCTAAACTGCTACCTAATGACATTTTCTGCCTTTAATTCTATGTTGGGCAGGTTTTCTTTTTAGGCCAAAGTGTAATATACCCATGTTAATTAGGATTTGATTAGTTTTATTATTTAGGCATTATTTTAACCTCATAAGATATATTAATATTTTAATTTTTGTTCATAGTAAAAAATTATTCATCATTGGTTTCCTTTGCATTCGTAGTTCTATGAATATATTAGCTACCCACCTCACAACTGAACAACCTAGAAATTTCATACATATGCTATTAAAATGCTAAATGAAATTAGGTGATCAATATATGTTTGCAAATTTATTGATGAATTTAAATATTTATAACCATATGGCTTGAAATACGTGCATATAATTCTATGAAATGAGCTGATATATAAATGCTCTATAAATCATGAGCTAAGTATAATTTCGTTTGACTGTTCCAAGTGATTGGCAGTAGAGTATAAAGTGTTTAGATTTAGAGCCAGACTGAGGAGGTTTGAATCCCACCTTGGCCACTTCCTCACTGCAGCACATCAGAGAAGTTACTTAACCTCTCTGTGCTAAGTTACTTTATCTGTAAAAAGGAGATAACTCAAAGTATTATTTTGAAGATTAAATAGTCTAATACCTAAAAATCACTCAGAATACAGTTGTGCAATTGTGCAATATGATAGTTCTACTTTACACACAGTAAATGCTCAATAAATGTTCCAAGGACAGTGGTCCAAGTTGTTCTGGAAATTCAGTGGTACAGGCTCCTTACATCATGTTTCTTTGTCACTACTGAGGGCTCTGTTTTTGTCTACAAAGCCAAAGTGGGTCATAGATACAGTCATCCTCCAGATGGCTGGAAGACAGAGGTGTATGGAGAAGTGCACATTCAATGCCTTAAGACTCATAATCGGAAGGGTGCTTACCATTTCCACTCATATTCCACTAGCAACAATGCAGTTATGTCATTAAACCTAGCTCTAGAGGAGCCTGGTGAAGGGAGTCTATTATTCTCTTACTCTGCAAGAACGGGAGAAGTAGATTTGGGTGGGGTAGAAGCAGCCAGGATCATATTTGGTATTGGTAATATGAGGTTGTTGCCCCTGAGTGGTTACAATGGGTAACACTGATTTAAGAAAATGTCTCTCTAAATGAGTGTTTCCCAGATAACTAAAATTAAGAAATTCTTCATATAAATAACAGTAATGTAGGAAAGATGCAGCCAAAGCTCAAATGCAGTTTTAATCAATCTATACATATTAGGATGCTGAAACTTTTTTTTTTTTGAAACAGAGTCTCACTCTGTCACCCAGGCTGGAGTGCGGTGGCCCGACCTCGGCTCACTGCAACCTCCACCTCCCAGATTGAAGAGATTTTCCTGCCTCAGCCTCTCCAGTAGCTGGGACTACAGGCGCATGCCACCACGCCCAGCTGATTTTTTGTATTTTTAATAGAGATGGGATTTCACCGTATTTCGATCTCCTGACCTCGTGATCTGCCCGCCTCAGCCTCCAAAAGTGCTGGGATTACAGGCGTAAGCCACCACACCCGGCCGAAACGTTTTTTAAAAAAATACTGCCATATAGAAAAATTGTCTTTACAGATACTCAAGTAACAATTTTAGCAAAATTCTCTCAAATTGATGTAGACATGTAACCTTTCTCCAAATTTATTAAAAGTGCCAGAACGGGGACTTTGTAGAATATACTTTGGGAATTACTTTTCTAGTTACTGCATAATTTCCAAATCTTTTGTATTTGCTGCATTCAAGGATTATACCCACGACAGCAGACAACTCACTGATGTCAGCCCCTGCAGGTTCTAGAGCCTGTTGTGGAATGATTGCGCCTGATTACGTTTCATATCTAATCAGCGAAAGAGCATATTTATGTCTGATATGTTGTCAGAGAAACCTCTTTTCAGCAATTTTTAAGCCTGCAGTAAACCACTGGTAAACCCCCTCCTTTATAGCATAGAGTGGCTGTTATCATGACAGTATTTTGATGAACCCAGGATCATGGGGCAGTTGAGGGAACTATGATATATCCTGGTTTCTTCAGCCACTGTCTCTCCTCCAGATCTTTCTCTAATCTGTGCTGATTGTGCTTCCATGAGCAAAATTCTAACACCAGACAATTGCAGCAATAAACTACATTTCCTTCCAGCCTGTGTGCTCTTAATGAAAACTTGCTTTTTACTTATTTATTTTTTGAATTTTTTTTCTTTTTTTTGAGACAAAGTCTCATTCTGTCACACAGGCTGGAGTACAGTGGCGCAATCTCAGCTCACTGCAATCTCTTCCTCCTGGGTTCAGGCGATTCTCCTGCCTCAGCCTCCTGATTAGCTGGGATTGCAGGTGTGCACCACCACACTCAGCTAATTTTTGTATTTTTAGTAGAGATGGGTTTCACCATGTTGGCCCAGGCTAGTCACGGACTACTGGCCTCAAGTGATCCGCCAGCTTCGGCCTTCCAAAGTGCTGGAATTACAGGCATGAGCCACTGCACCCGGCCTATGATAACATTTTAATAGATGAGAAAAACTTGAAAGTTAACTATTAATGCATGGCAGTGTTATGATATTTCATATAAAAATATGAAACAATGTAGAACTATTATTTTTGTCTATCCTACAAAGATACAGTGTTCTATTTTTTCCTTAGGGAACATCTTAGTATCTACAGTTGAGGTAATTAACTGAAGTTAAACAGTATCTAATCTAAGTTGTATTGGTCATTAAAATTGTTTGTTTTATTATTATTCAAAATGAATAATGAAATAAGGACATGAACAGAAACACGCAGCCCCGGGAGAGTAGAGTTAACTGGAGTCTGAGACAGGGTATTTCCCATTTCCAACTTGCTAAAGTTAAATCAGGAATCCAAATATGTACAGTTACCTCAAAAATGTCAGTAACAATGTGATAACTGTGTGTGGGAGAGAAATTTGACGTAAGGGTTCTTTTCCTGCAATGTTAAAATTAATTTAAGCGTAGCTATTGGAAATTGGACTTTGTAGTAAAGAAATAAAACTGCCAAGGAAGTTCCCAGAGAAGAGGTTAAAAGCAAGGCCAGCTCTAAGGACGCAGCACAGAGGCCTAGTAATAACATACCAGAAGAGAATCAACCCACAAATAGCATCATTTGCTTTTATCTCAAACAGCAACTGCTTCTTTCATAAGTGACACACTTTCCTGAGCAGAACAACTGTTGAGTATAAATTTATGTATGTTTATATAAACATACAATGTTATACCCCAAAGACAAACTTTTGTGATCAAGCATGTCTGCATTCTCGTTGTAAATTTTCCAGTGGGAATAAGTAAGAACTTTCACCTTCTTTGTCCTAAATGTAAGAATTATTCATGCTTTATTGAAATTCATTAGGTGAAAAAAATGAAAGTTTGAAAACCGAAACATAGAATTAATTCACTTGACAAAGCAAGTAGTTGATCTCGAACAAAGGGGTACAATGAGCAGATTTAGGCCAGATTTAGAGCATCTAGGTTTCGGAGATAAAATTACAACAAATGTAGCTTAAATATTTTAATTGGCTTTTATTTGTGATTCTGGAATCACACAACACTTTATTCTTATAAAATTAAATGAGTGCTCCAGTGAATTGAGTGAATAGAGGAGTTTGGCTTTATAGGCAGAAAGGGGCCACAGAAAGTAGAAACAGAACAAAAGTGGATTGGGTGTTTTAAAATTACTTTCGCTGTAAACGTTAAAGCCCGGGGGATTTCCTTATCATGTCAGCTAACTGGCCTGTTTGGGGATTTGGCTATTATCTTTTAATCTCTCCTAATTTCTTGGAAAGTCAGATTAAAAAACGGTTTTGGCTTGGTGATATGAAACTTCAGCATGAGTAACTCCAGTTTGGTTTGGTCTGTTGAGCCTAGTGCAGGAATTCATTCTGAAGCAATAACCTCCTATAAATTCTACTTAACACAGGTAAAAAGGTTGTTTTCAATTGCTTTAGGCATCTCTAGATACCTAGACTTGAGATTTTCTGGAGAAGCACTAGAAGCGAATCAATTCATTTCTTTTGGTTCTTTATAGCTTCAGGGTCTTCATCACCAGAGGGGCAATTTGGGTGATCAGAATGATTTTTTTTTTACGATACTACTTTCCACTGAAATTTTAAGGATTGGAGGTTACACCATGATGGACCAAAGAACTCTGAGTAGAGAAAATATGTCAGAGTTCACTTTATCTTCCTTTGTTCCTCACTGCGTTTTTTCAGTAGCATCACTTTTGCTGAACCTAGGGGAGAATTTGTGAGGAGAAACACATACATAAAGGGAAAATAATCACTAGAATAACTTAGTTTGTATTCTACTAGGACAGAAATGTCCTAAATCAGATTTCAGAGATATCTATGTGTGTTTTGAAAATACATATTAATCAATCTTTTTGAGTGTTGTTTACTTTTGAAGTGATGTCTACAAAACTAACCAAATAAATGATTTCCTAAAAAGCAAATATGTCAACAAAATTAAGTAAACTAATTGTCATACTTAAAAATAATGACTAATGCTGCACCCAAAAGTTTTCTCTGAATTTAAAAGGATTGTTGTAGGAAAGTTTATTGGAAAAAAATAAAAAATGAGGTTTAATGCTTTGTTAATTGATAAATATGCAAATTGTACATTAAA
Source organism: Homo sapiens (assembly GCF_000001405.40). Lineage (NCBI taxonomy): Eukaryota > Metazoa > Chordata > Mammalia > Primates > Hominidae > Homo > Homo sapiens. The sequence goes on from NC_000011.10 coordinate 105,574,914, forward strand.
ATATCAAAATGTTGGCATATGGTTTTTTAACAAAATAAGTTAAATACATTCACTTAAAGAGTATTTACAATCAAATAGTGATTATCTCACAGTCCTAAAGCATATCAACTCTGGAATGCTCAGATCACAAAATGAAATGCTATTTAAGACACAAAGATCACAGATATATAAAGTAAAACAATGCATATGCATAAAGTGCTTGACCTATAAAAATAAAAAGTATGTAACTCAGGAGAAAAGCTGAGTCACTGATATCTTGCATAATCTGTTTTGGGACCCAAAACTGTACATAATGCTGCAGCAATAAAATGCATAATTTCTATATCAATCACTGCATATTCAAAAGAATATACACGAAACTTCTCCACCGCTATTTATTTGGAATAATCGCCCTAGTCATTGAGGCAGTACTCCCAGGGACACACATAAATCTACTTTTCTCAACCTGCAAGCATTATTTCATCCTAGTTTTAAAACAATTAAGACAGCATTAGGAGTTATACCTAATGCTAAATGACGAGTTAATGGGTGCAGCACACCAGCATGGCACATGTATACATGTGTAACTAACCTGCACATTGTGCACATGTACCCTAAAACTTAAAGTATAATAATAATAAAATAAAAAATAATTTCAATAAAGAAAAAAAATTCTGAGTACTTACTATTAAGCTATGTAGACAAAAACCGATGCTATTTTGTCCCACCAATTCTCTGTTCATTGATGCATCAGGAATTACTTTCCATCAAGAGATTTGCTCAATAAAAGCCCATACATTATTTTCTGTGTATGGATCAGAATAAAAGCACAAAGCAGCAACAGCAAATAAGGATGTATAAATCAGTGATTCAAATAAATATACATGACTACATAGCCACACAAATAAGGAATTTAATTATATACATACTGTGACAATATCCTTAATGCTTTGTAACTATAAATAAATTTATAATTTCCTCCCCCTCCCCCCAAAAAAAACAATTAAGAAACTATGAAATAATGTGAGAAAGCAAAGGCTTGGAACCAAGGGCCTGCCTGTGAGCTGTGTGATCTTGGACAGTAATGTTGCCTTCTACAGCCAAATTCCCCCACCTATAAAAATGGAATAACAATATCTACCTCACTGAATAATTAGGAGGGTTAGATGGGATAATATTTGGGGCTTACATTTTAATTGTTAAAAGATCAGGTAATTCCAGTAATTATTACAATTGTAGTTAAAACAACATAAACTTCCTTCAAACCCAAAAGTACTATGTAAGGTGTCAGGAATCTCAATTAAGAGTGTTCTTTGGTGATGAGCATGATGGCACCGATCCTGTTGTGTCAAATTGCACTCAAGTTGTAAAGAGAAATTGTTTGGGACATTCATATTTATTCTTGAGACTTTCTAAGGCCATCACCTGTTTGGGTAGAAATAGATAAAGATTAGATCAAAATCTGATTTTTAAGTGTGCATGTTGCAGCACCAGTTCAATGTACCATCCTACCAGGTGTTTTGTAGTAAGTTAAGAGCACTAGCTGGGAATGAATGAGACCTTGAGACTTCAGATAGAGATATTTGTGCAGACACAGATGAGGCTAAAATCATTGAGCTCCATAAATTTCCTTGAATCTACTTTTTCATCAGAAGTATCTCCTCCCTATCCTGAAGGAATTTAGCTTCTCTTACATAAAAACATGACAAAGAATTCACTTAGGGCATTTTCCTTATATGAGGATATTGATTATCTTCAGGATTCATCGTTATTGAGACTGGCATTCAGTATAGCCCAGACAGAAAAGCATGAGCTATATTCTATAAATATATATATATATATATAAATATAAATATATTGCAATGCTTAAAATATATACACATGCATATATATACACACACATATATACATGTTTACACATGCATATATATACACATATATACATGTTTACACATGCATATATATACACATATATACACATGCATATATATATACATGCATATATATAAAATATATTGCAATGCTTAAAATATATACACATGCATATATACACACACATATATACATATCTACACATGCATTTATATACACACACATATATACATATCTACACATGCATATATATACACACATATACATATATACACACGCATATAAACATATATACACACTCATATAATATATAATATTATGAATAAGTAAATAGAATCTAGAATAATACAAACTTCCACATTTTTTTCTTCCATGCTGAAAGTCATGTTCTACTCAGTCCAGTATTTTATGAAGTTTCAGTGCATTTAATGATAAGTGTTTACAAACCTTTTTTTGAAGCTTATTACTTAATAGTGAAAGACACAATCAGAGAAATGCATATTCTTTCTGCTGCAATAAAAATGACTGAAAATATACGCTGAAAACAATAAGTCAGGCTTCCTGTCTCAGCCAGTAATGTCAGGAAGCTTGTATAAAACATTGCTGAAGGTATGAAAAAACAGTATTAGAAAAAACATGCAATGTGGCAATATAATGGAGGTGCAGGCATTTATATAATCTCTTTGCTTATTCTATTTACTAGATTCTGATTCAACAATGAAATAGAATAAGAACAAATTGTTTGTGTTCACAGGCCTTCCAAGCATATCAGATCAAATGACACATACCGGGTAGTACTTATTTATCCAGAAAAAAAACATACAAAAACCAGAGAAATCGCAGATACAGAATTCTCTATCCAAGTTGGATGTCAGATTTTGGAAGAAGGGCCCTAGTCTTTCGACTATGTAACTTATGAAATCTATGGCTGCAGAAGTACCAGGGCCTCCTCTAGAAATGATTAGGCAGTGGGTTTCATCATCCATTTGTTGTTGTGTAATAAGGCAGACCAGTGAGACCACTGACCTTATCTGCCACTTCATTATTCTTAGTTGAGTGTACATCAGTCCCTCTAATGGTATAATCAGAGACTGCATTCCAAGCCTTGTTGATGAAGTTGTATAGTATGGTAAACCAGTATTCAGAAGCCCTGATTCACCATCTCATCATTCTATTTACACTGTATATCTATCTTAAGGAATGGTTGTCGTCAGTTTTAATAGAGAAAATTTCAGCTCACAAATGGTCCTGCTAAACAGGAAGTTAAGTCCTTCTCTGTCAGACTATTATTCAAGGTATCAATCACGAACAAGTTATTTTCAGCTCTCAGAGCTACAAAAGGAAAGATTTATGGAGAAAACATTTATCCAACTCTAAATTTCTTCCTTAATTTGAATAAAAATATTTTATAGTGAAAATTTAATTTTCTCCATTGATAGACCACCTTCTTTGACTGGAATCAAAAGTAATCAAGGGAAGAAATTTAGCACCTATGGGCACTTGTAATTTCAATACCTGCTGCAATCAACTGAAAATGAGTGATTCAGTTATTCCATTGTCTATAAAGATATTCTAACTTATTTTTAATACGATTAAGCATATAGGAGAATATTAACAAATCTTTTAAATGAGATGAATACTGATTATAATTTGTTTTCTGTCACACAAAGATTTGCTGATTATCTTGTGGCAAATGCTTACAGGAAGTGCTTACATATTTGTCTTATTTAAAAAGAAAAACGGTCAAAACTTTATAGTTTTTTGTGATAATCAGTGGTGGCAATTAGTATGCCATTCGTTAGTTTCAGAAAACTAAGAAAGTAATTATGTAAATATTATTTTAAAATATATATGAACACATTACTTTTAAAAGAAATGTTGAAAATAGAAGATCTTGAAAACATTTCTATTTGCATAATTTTGTTGCTGAAAAAATATATCAGCCTATAAAAATTCTTAAATGTACATTTCAAACAAATGTTTTAAAATTACCTCACACAATACAATAATTCCAAATGTATCAAAGACCTAAATATAACAGCCAAAGTAATACAAATTTCCAGGAGGAAATAATTGTCACTTTAGGTTCAGCAATAATTTCTTAGCTATAACACCAAAAGCACAATCCTTTAATGCATAGAATGATTAATTGCACCTTCTTTATGATTAAAAACTTTGCTCTGAAAGACACCACTAAGAAAATAAAAATGAAATGCAAGTTACAGAGTAGGAGAAGACATTTGCAAATCACATATTTTTACAATGCTTGTATCCAGAATGCAAATCAATAATAAGAACAACCCAATTTCCCTATTTTAATAATTGACAAAAGCTCTGGATAGATATTTAACCAAAAATATATACAAATAATTAATAAGCACATGAAAAGATGCTTAATATTTTAGTCATATGGGAAATACAAATTAAAACCACAAAATGAATCAATACTGAATGACCATAATAAAAATTCTGAATGACTGTAATAAAAATTCTGATAATATCAAATGTTAGCAAGTATATCCGGAAACTGATATACTCTTCCCTTGCTGGTAGGAATGCGGAAAGGCACATCCACTTTTAAAAACAGTTTGGGAGTTTTTTAAAAAGTTAAACATAAACTTGGTATGATCCAGCAACTCCCACACTAGGAATCTACTCAATAAAAATGATCACATGGATCTACCCAAAAACTAATATGAATATGCAAATATTCATAGCAAAATGATTCATATTAACCCCAAATTGCAAACAATCTAAATGTTGTAAACTGATGAACAAAAAAACAAAACGTGTTAACTTCATGTATATTATTTTATGAATGTATCTCAAAGCCATTATGCTAACCCAGACATAAAAGACATATTGTATGTTTCTAATTACATGAAATTCCTAGAAAAGAAAAACCTACCAAGACAGAGAAGAGATTGCTTGTCTAGAACTGTGGGCAGAAGCATGATTTTATTATAATGATAAGGAGACTTTCTGGAATGAGGAAAATATTCCGTAGATGAATTAAGGTGAGAGTTGTACGACTCTAAAATGTATAACAAATCATTGAATTTTATACTTACACTAAGTGAATTTTATTGTGTGTAAATTATATCTCAATGCATAAAGGAAGAAAAAATAACTTCAAAAAACAAATAAAGTAAAATAAAATCATTAAAATGTTTAATTTACTCCAAAGAAGGCAGAAAAACAGAAATTGTTAATAGAGGCAGAGAGAGAAAGAGAAAACAAATGACAAGATAAAACCTTTAAATCAACAATAGCAATAATTATATTAAACATAAAAGGTTAAATACTCCACTTAAAAAGTATGGGTAGTCAGTTCTTGTGATAGTTTGCTGAGAATGATGGTTTCCAGCTTCATCCATATCCCTGCAAAGGATATGAACTCATTCTTTTTTATGGCTAAACGTTATTCTCAGCAAACTATCACAAGAACAGAAAACCAAACACCACATGTTCTCACTCATAAGTGGGAAGTGAACAATGATAACACATGGACACAGGGAGGGAAACATCACACACCAGGGCCTAACAGGGGGTTGGGGGCTAGGGGAGGGATAGCATTAGGAGAAATACGTAATGTAGGTGACAGGTTGATGGATGCAGCAAACTACCGTGGCACCTGTATACCTCTGTAACAAAACTGCACGTTTTGCACATGTACCCCAGAACTTAAAATATAATTTTTAAAAAGTATGGGTAGTCAGAATAATAAAAAGATAAAGCCCAGTGATATGCTGCCCCAAAGATATATACTATAAATATACAAAACCAATTGAAAGTAAGAATTGGACAATATATACCAGATACACCATAACACAAGGAAGCTGGTAAGTGTAAACGGAATATTATGTAATGATTAAATGATAACTAATACAAATACATAGCCATCCTAAATGAGCATGCAATAAATAACAAAGCTTCAAAATACACTAAAAAACTGACAGAAACAAAATAAGAAATCAAAAAATCTACAATAAATGTTGGAGATTTTAAGACCATACTCTTAGTAATTTTGAAAAACCAATGAGTATGTAGAAAATCTAATCAACACTCTGGAAAAACTTGCTCTTATGGACAACTGCAGAACAGTATACCAATACTTCAGCATACACATTATTTTCACATGAAACATTCATCAAAATAGACTTTATGCTGGGTATAAAATTTTAAATTATTAACAAGATATCTGGAAAGGCCAAAACAATTGAAAATTAAACAATGCACCTCTAAATAATCCATGAGTCAAACAAAAAACACAAGGAAGATTAGAAAATATTACATATTAAATGACAATAAAAATTCAAAGTATTATAATTTGTAAGCCCATCTAAAGCAGTGCTTATGAAGAAATTTATGATTTTAAGAAAGCAAAAGAGACTGAGAGTCAATTATGTCCATTTTCATCTTGAGAAATTAGAAAGAGTAAAATAAACCCAAAGAAAGTGGAATCAAGGATATAAAAATGATAAGACTTAGGGGTTAACAAAATAGAAGATGAACAACAGAGAAAACTAGGAAAGCCAAAACTTGGTTCTTTGAGAAGTTCAGCACATTTCATAAACAGCTAGCATGACTAAAAATAGAGAGAGAAAAAACAGACATTACCAAGGTTAGAAATGAAAAAGAAATACACTATAGATACTGCTGGCATTAAAAGGATAATAAAGGAATATTATGATCAACTTTTCGCTAACAAATTCAGCCACTTAGATGAAGTAGAGAAATGCCAATATAAGTTACTAAAAGTGATTTAAGAAGAAATGAAAAACCTGAATAACCTTATGTGTATTTATGAAACTGAAATACAAATTTATGTAGTTCCTGCAAATGAAACACTTTCCAGGTAGTTTTACTGATGAATTTTTCAAACACTAAAGGAAGAAATTATAACAATTTTATTTAAAAAGTTTCAGACAATAAAGGAGAAGGAAACATTCCCTGATTTATCTCATGAGGACAGTAAAGCCAACAAAGGGAAAGATCTGACAAACACATTCTAAGGAAAGAAAATTGCAAACGTTCCTCACAAACATAACCACAAGTGTTTGCAAATTAAATCTAAAAATACATAAAAGGAATAAGACATCCTAGCCAAGTGGATTTTAGCCCAGAACTTTCCTAAATGTCTAAACTTCTACTCTTAAAAACAATCAACCAGGAAAATGCAAAAAACAAGCAACAGTGACAAAATGACAAATATCTTATATCCACAATATATAAAGATCTCTTACAGATCAATAATAAGACAAAAAGAGACTTCCTTCCAAAGAGTATGGTATGGGAAGGCAAAGTTAGGTGGAAAATGACTCCACAGTGGAAAAAGCTGACAAACACTCCCTCAGCCAAGTGATTAAGGTCAAAATCAACAGTGATAAATCATGTTGAATGTATGTACCTTTGATATGTGATAAAAATGGGACTTTTCCTATATGACCTACCTCCCCAAAACTCATATTCCTTGTTTAGCCGTGAAAGTAAAATCAGACAAATGCCACCTCTGAGTGTATTCTGAAAATATCTGACCAGTACTTCTAAATATTCTTAAGGTCATCAAAAACAAGGAAGACTCAGAAATTGTCACAGCTAAGGGGAACTCTAAAGAGATATAAATGCTAAAGGCAATATGGTATCCTGGATAAGATTCTAAAACATAAAAAGAACATTAGGGAAAAGCTAAAGAAATCTTAACAAATTACGGACCTAGGTTAATAATAATGCATCAGTATCATTAATGGTAACAAATGCAATATACGAATGAAAGATATTAATACAGTTATGTGCCACATAATGAGGCTTTGGTCAACGATGAACTGTATGTATGATGGTGGCCCCATGAGATTTTAATGGAGCTGAAAAATTCCTACAGCCTAGTGACTTCGTAGTAGCTGTTGTAATGTTGTAAAGCAATCCATTACTCACGTTTTTGTGGTGATGGTATAAACAAACCACAGGTTTGTGGTGATGGTGTAAACTGCATTGCCAGTCATATAAAAATATAGTACATACAATTGTGTACAGCATATAAAAATTGACAATAATAACAAACCACTGTTACTGGTTTATTTATATACTATACTGTTAATCATTATTTTGGAGTGTAATCCTTCTATGTATTAAAAAAGTTAATTGTAAAACAGCCTGAGGCAGCTCCTTCAGGAGGTATTTCAGGAAAGGCATTGTTATCATAGAAGATGACAGCTCCATGCATGTTATTGCCCCTAAAGACCTTCCAGTGGGAAAAAAAAGTAGAGGTAAAAGACAGCAGTATTGATGATCCTGACCCTCTGTAGACCTAGGCTAATATTGTGTCTGCTTGTGTCTTAGCTTTTAACAAGTATCAAAAGTAAAAATAAATACATAAAACTTGTAGAACTTTTTAGAATAAGGATATAAAGAATGAAGACGTTTTTCAGCTATACGATATGTTTGTGTTTTGAGCTGTGTTATTACAAGAGTCAAAAAGTTTTAAAAATGCAAAAGTTTATCAAGTAAAAAGTTATAGTAAGCTAAGGTTAATTTACTATTGAGAAAAGAAAAATTCTTTTTATGCATTTACTGTAGAAGTGTACAATGTTTATAAAGTCTAGCATAGTGTACCTTCATGTCCTAGGCCTTCACATTCAGTCACCACGCACTCATTGACAACCAGAGCAACTTCCAGTCCTGCAAGCTTCATTCATGGTAAGTGCTCTGTACAAATGTAATGTTTTTTATCTTCTTTTATTTGTTTATTTTTTTTGAGATGGAGTCTCGCTCTGTCGCCCAGCTGGAGTGCAGTGGTGCAATCTCGGCTCACTGCAAGCTCTGCCTCCTGGATTCACGCCATTCTCCTGCCTCAGCCTCCAGAGTAGCTGGGACTGCAGGCGCCCGCCACCACGCCTGGCTAATTTTTTGTATTTTTAGTAGAGACGGGGTTTCACCGTGTTAGCCAGGATGGTCTCGATCTCCTGACCTCGTGATCCGCCCGCCTCGGCCTCCCAAAGTGCTGGGATTACAGGCGTGAGCCACCGCGCCCAGTCTATTTTTTATCTTTTATGAGGTGTTTTACTGTACCTTTTCTTGTTTAGATCTGTTTACCATTATGTTACAATTGCCTACAGTATTCAGTACAGTAACATGCTGTACAGGTTTGTAGGCTACACAATATAGCCTAGGTGTGTAGTAGGCTATGTCATATAGATTTCTGTAAGTACACTCTATGATGTTTGCATGACAACAAAATTGTCTAAGGACACATTTCTCATAATGCATCCCCATCCTTAGGAAACATGACTGTAATAGGGGAAGCTGCCTGTGGACACATGGAAATTTTCTGTACTACCTTTATAATTTTTCTATAAATTCAAAGCTGCTCTAAAAAATAAAGTTTATTAAACTATGTCCTAAAATAATCAAATAAATAAACGCCACATATTTATTTTTGAAAACTTGAATGTCCATAAAATAGAGTAAAAATGTCATCTATAATCTTACCATTCAGAGATAATTACTGTTAACGGCCTTTTGTGTTTCTTTTACCTTCTTTTACATATAAATAAGGATATATAATTTTACCCCACTGGGATCTTAAATCTACTATTTTGCATTTTACTTTTGCAATTTACTTTGTATGTTAAGTATTTCATCATGATATTTCATAGACTTTTTTCTTTTTTTTTTTTTTTTCTTTTTGAGACAAGGTCTCACTGTGTTGCCCAGGCTGGAGTGCAGTGGTATGATCTTGGCTCACTGCAGCCTCGACGTCCACAGGCTCAAAGGATCCTCCCACCTCAGCCAAGCAGCTGAGACTACAGGCATGCGCTACCAAGCCAGGCTATTTTTTGTAGCGATGGGGTTTTGCCATGTTGCCCAGGCTGGTCTCGAACTCCTGAGCTCAAGTGATCCTCCTGCCTTGGCCTCCCAAAGTGCTGGAATTAGGTGTGAGCCACTGTGCATGGCCTGACATTGCATAGATTTTGAAACATAATTATAATAACTGTATATCATTTAATTGAGTTTCTATATTATAACTAATTTCTTTTAAAAAATGATAGGCCAGAGAAAGTTTTTAAAATTTGGTTTATTTTTAAAATAACTATTATTTTAGTAATAAGCTTTTATATAATCTAAAATTATTTCTTCAAGATAAATTCTGGGAGTGGGTTAGATCAACAAGTAATGGCATTATTTTGATGTTTAATAGACAATTTCTTTCTGAAGAGTATTGAATAAATTGGGACAATTCCTTGCCTGATGGGTCATGACTTTTAATACTTTATGCAGATTTCCCTTCAATGTGTTAACCATGTGTTATCTCAAAAATTAGTTTACAACTTATAGCTATAGAAGTTTATTTTGTACTTGTTCTACATTTTTTCTTTACATATAACCATTATATTAGTTTAAGATATATGTCTCCCTTCCCCCTACCCTTCTCAGTCTCTAGTATCCTCCATTCTACATTTTACCACTAAAAGATCAACTTTTTTTTTTTTTTTTTAGCTTCCACAGACAAGGGAGAATATATGGTGTTTACTTTTCTGTTTCTGGCTTGTTTCACTTGACGTAATGTCCTCCAGTTTCATCCATGTTGTTGCAAGTGGATTTCATTTTTTATGGCTGCATAATATTTTGCCATGTATATGTACCACATTTTCTTTATCCATTCTTCTGTTTTTGGAACCTTAGGTTGTTTCTATATCTTTCTTACATGAATAGTGCTGTAATAAAAAAAGGGGTGTACATGTCTCTTTGATAAACTGATTTTCTTTCCTTTGAATAAATAATGCCCAGTAGTGGGATTGTTGGATTATACGGTGGTTCTATTTGTAGTTTTTTGAGGAACTTGCATCTGTTCTCCATAGTAGCTGTATTAGTTTACTTTTCACCAATAATGTATAAGAGTATAAGAGTTTCCATTTCTCCACATCCTCACCAGCATTAGTAATTATTTTGTCTTTTTGATAATAGCCGTCTTAACTGGTGAGAGATGATAGCTCATTATGGTTTTGATTTGCATTTCCCTGATAATTAGTGATGTCAAACATTTTTGCATATATATATGTCGGTTATTTGTATGTCTTAAGAAATATCTGCTCAGATCATTTGCTCATTTTTAAATAGGATTATTTGGGTTTTTTCCTGTTGAGATGTTTGAGTCCCTTGTATATTCTGAATATTAATCCCCTGTCAGATGAGTAGTTTTCAAATGTTTTCCTCTCATTCTGTAGGTTGTCTTTTTACTCCGTTGATTCTTTCCTTTTCTGTGCAGAAGCTTTTTAGTTTAGTATAATCCTACTCGTTTATTTCTGCTTTTGTTGCCTGTGCTTTTGAGGTCTTCTACAAAAAACTATTTCCCAATGTCCTGAAACATTTCCCCTAAATTTCCTTCCAGTAGTTTTATAGTTCCAGGTCTTACGTTTTGGTCTTTGATCCATTTTTAGTTGATTTTTGCATAAGGGGAGAATCGGGGGGTTAGTTTCATTCTTCTGCATATGTTTATTCAGCTTCCCAAGCACAATTTATTGAAGCAACTATCCCGCCATGTCTTTAGTGGAAGCTTATTTTCATCTGGATATAAAATATCTTTTTGTGTTGTCCCCCCTCCGATTTTTAGAGCAGTATTCATCGCAGAATGTTGGAAAAGTCATAAACATGTAAAGACTCAGAAAAAAACAAGCAAACACCGATAACCTCATTGCATCGAGGAACCAGTTTTAGCACTTTGGCATCTTTGTTTCTCATTTCCTTTTCTTTATTTTTATTTGTGATCTAACTTGTCTTCTTTTTAAAAACTCAACATTATATGATAAACATTTTCCCATCATTAAAGATCTTCATAAACGTCACTTCAAAGCCTTCATAATATTTACTCGAATTGACATAATTTCCCTATTAAGCATTTGTGTGATCTTTTCCAAAATTTTTGTCACAAATGAAACAGAAAATCATTTCCATGTATAAATTATATTGACTTTCTGATTATTTAGTTACTAGAAAAGAGAATGAGGATCACAAAAAGGGGAATAACCAATGGAATAATTCAGAAAGTTTTACTGGTTACATGCTCTCTAGTGACATAATTATCTTATCTTAAAGTCGCTGGTCTTGAATACTCAATTAAAATATATGCTCATTATATGAGCATGAAAACAACTTTGTGAGTTTGATTTGCATTTCTTTTATTACTGGTGAAGTGAAGCATTTTTAAGTTTGTATTTCTGTATACTCTTTTATTAACTATGCATATGTGCCATTGTGGCAATATGTTTTTATTGTCTATATAGGTTCTCTGTATATTTCAATTCCTTTCTTAGCGCTGCAAATATTTACCCTATATAAATATAAAATATTTACCCTGTATAAAAAAGAGGGTTGCTTTGTGTATGATTGATTGAGCTTATCTATATTATGCTGATAATGTGGAAAATGTGGATCTCCCATAACTCATACAGTGATAGTTCCTGAACCTATTTTCAAATTGAAATAGCACTGTCAGGAAATGGATTATAGTTTGCTAAGAATTGATTACAGTAGACTCCTAATAAATATTTTGATTGACTTATTGAAACAACCAAATGATTTTTTTTGATTTCATAAAATCATATGCTTTATTACAATCTGACATTATCACACTCCCTAACGCATTTGCCATTACAAAGGTGCCAGAACCATTATAGTTTATATTTCAACTAAAAACATATATTTGTTAATTATATTTCTCAGTAAACTGAATTAAACAAATACCTCTAAAGTAACACATGAATAATAGGAACAAGGCATTAGAATGACATAAATATATTTTGGTTTACTATTTCTGGATGACAATTTTAGCACCTAGCCTATTTATATAAAGAGTATAGACTTTCTTCCAATCTTGTATGTAAATAAATATTTAAGTAAAGTATGACAGATAAAATAAATGTTTATACAAGAACATTTAAATTTATTATTTTAGTATTGGTTCAGTGCCTTCTTGTAGTCAAATTATACCATATTTAATTCATTGAACCATTTTGTTTTACAATATCTGAAAATGAAATACTAATCAAGAAGGTTGCCACTATCAACTTTGTGAGTAGGGAGATTGGAAGAAAGAACCTCAAATTTCATGACAATTGGATTTAAATCTTTTTATAGAATTTTGAAGAAAATCTTTTTTTGAAAGAGTTTAGTAATCTTAATAAAGTGGCCTTAACAAAAATGGAGACTTTCAATTTGGATTAAATATTTAGTCTTGTTTATTTTCTTTTATTTAATTCAGCAATTAAAAATGCAACTCAATTCATTTGCAAATAAGTTTTTGAATGATATATGCATGGCACTGTAGTGTATCCTATGTAGGTATAAAATTTTAGATGTGGGTATCATATTCTTTTACTTGAGCCACTCAGCCTGTAGTATTTTGCTATGGCAGCCCAAGCCGACTAACACAATATTCTATGTCTGACTCACCTAACATAGTGAAAGAATGCACTGGATTTTTTATAAACAATTACATCATATAGTTATTTTTAGCAAAGTACTATCACATAAAATCTTCAAACCAGTACCACACATATTACTACTAAGTTGTGTTTGCTCTATTTTGGGTAGATATTTATTAGTTTATTTTATATGGAGAACATCGTGGTTACTGATTTATCATGCTGCATTTTGCTATTTCTCCTAGCTTCGTGTTATTCACAAGCTAATGAGCATTTATTTGCTTCTTCATCCAAGTCACTGGTGAACATATTCAATAAACTTGAGAACAGAGCTTTCCGGCATACCAGTAAAAACTTCTCATCAGGTAGGACATCAATTGATCAGCCAATTTTTAAATGATAAGTATCAGGATGTTTCTCGTGGTCTATAGGCCTTAGTAAGTCTTCTCTCGTTTGCCAGTTTGATAGTGTTTTATCAGTATATGTCATGATAGAGAGATGCTGCTGCTGCTGCTACCAATGGTGATTACTATCACTATTTGTAAAACTCCCTTCCAAAATTTCTCTGTCTTATATTATCTAAAGAATAAGGTCATAATTTGTTAACCTTTACATATCCAGTATCCAGAAATCCGTATCATAAATAACTACTCATTCTTTGTTCCTTAAATGAAAATATGTGTTGGGCCTGCCTGATAATGTGGCAATAGCAATTAAGTTGGAAGAGCAACTGTTTATTAATCATGGACATACAGTGGTGGTAGTTGTGCCACTGCCAATTGTTTGATAAGTATTTTAAGTTACATGTTTTATCTACCAGTTTGGCTAATATTCTAATAAGTATTCTATTTTACCTGCTACCATTTACTGTAAAATCAATAAACCCATTAACATTTAATTTGTATCAATTTTTATTTTATGCCACATATTACTTCAAAAATGATTAAGATGGCTTACAAGAACACCAATGATGCAGAAGGACATAATGTACATTTAGAATACATTTTTTAAAACAAAGCAAAGAAAAAAATTTTTGCAAAACTGATGGAGCCAGGAATGAAGTCTGTACGCAAAGTGCATGCCCTTAAGTCTTACATACATGTTGGAGCCTGGCTACTATTTGCCTTTAATATTGGAGCAATCGACAGAAAAAGGAAAATGTGATTCAAAATGCAGTTCCTAACACTGAGGTTCCCCCAATACCCAAAGCTAAATTATTTAACTCTTTTTTAATGGATTTAGATGAATGGGCTTATAAAGAAGCCCATTTTGCACTTTAGCTGATTTAGCTGAATGGGCTTTTATCGAAGCCCTTTTACACTTTAGCAAGTTCAAAAGGCATGAGTCAGAAGAACTGTGTTGACTTTGTGGAAATAAGTCGCCACAGCTTCTTCCAATTCGTGCTTTTTGCACTTGCTGCCCCATCTACTTAATGTTTTTCCATTATCAAGCATTATACATTTAGTGGTTTCCAGAAACATTCCATGTAAGCAGATATCAGAACATCCATCCACAAATGCGTATTCATATTTATCTATACTATATAATATATACATATAGCATAAAACAGAAAAATAAGTATCTAATTTACAGGAAAATATTTAAAAATCTGCAAATGAATCATATTGACCAGACTGTCTAAATAATGCTAACTTCTCAAGACTATTAATTTAACCACACTAACAACTCTAAACAGTTTTTCTTTTTCCTTAGAAAAGACAAAATGAGTATTCTTCATTTACTATTTTTTACTTAGCTCCATAAAAATGCCCCGGTCATGTTTCACACACATAAAATACTGAGCATTTGAAATAATAGTGTAACCTCAAGAAATATTAAGGATCCAAAAACTGATCTGGGACTTGAAGAAAATAAATCTGACATTCTATAAAAGTAGAATTTATTTAGCAATGACTTTTGTTTTTCCTACTGTTTATTCTATAGTGCTATAATTTAAACTTCCCATTTCACTGCTTCTTCTTACCTTTATAAAGACACTTTAAATAATCTAAATCATCTAAAGACACTTTAAGGGGCTGGGCGAGGTGGCTCATGTCTATAAGCCCAGCACTTTGGGAGGCCTAAGCAGGCGGATCACTTGAGGTCAAGAGTTCGAGGCCAGCCTGGCCAACATGGTGAAACCCCATCTCTATGAAAAAAATACTAAAATTAGTCAGGTGTGGTGGCACATGCCTGTAATCCCAGCTACTCGGGAGGCTGAGGCAGGAGAATCGATTGAACCCAGAAGGCAGAGGTTGCGGTGAGCCGAGATTGCGCCACTGCACTCCAGCCTGGGCGACAGAGACTTCATCTCAAAATAAATAAATAAATAAAGACACTCTGAGGGAGACAGACTATAAGCTCTTTGAACTTCCTTTCAAATGATCCTATAATGCCCAGAACAAATTCTGTTTTTAGTTACCATGTTTAAGGGACTTATAGAATACAAAGGTATTAATAACAAATTGTGTTTGATAGAGAAAATTGTGTTAATCATTCTAAAATTATGTTTCTTAAATTACTTTATGAAAATATAGTTACAAATAAGCTATTTGTAATTTTTTCAATTAAAGTAAATGCATCACATTGTGACAAAATATAGAATTTTAAAAACATTAATAGTATGGGTGAAATGTCAATTGATGAAACATTTTTTTAAGAATGGAAAAAGAAAGACACTTCTTAAAATCAAGATCAAGTGTTAACACAGTGATTTCTCCCTGGGTTTAACAGAGAGTTTAATTTATTATGATATTTTATTCAAGAAGATTTTTTAAATATTGTGTCTCAGATGGATTTATACAAAACTGTATCAAGCAATATTAAGCAAGACCAATTAAATTTGCACCAGGAAACTATTAAAAGCATAAATGTAAGAATTTGTAAGGTGTATTTGTTATTTGAAAGAAATGGAGGAAATGTAAGAAAAGAAAATAATAGTTATCAGTGCTTAAAAGAAGCATTTTTATGTAATCTGAAGGCCACATAACCGGCAATTACTTGGTTGTGATGACAATTGTGGTTATCGATACTGACGTGTCAATTTTCTATATGTGATCAAGAGTCAGTCTTGATCAAAATCAGAATATAAGCAGTCGTCTAACAGTAGACATTGGATTTGCATTTGGAAGTAATGGATAAATTTAGTAAGAACAATAGTTACACACATACACACACACACACACTCACACAGATGTTCTTCCACCATTTCTATAAGCTTCCTCCGAGTTAGAGCTCTCGTAACAATTAATATTCATATATCTTAATATTTATTGTATTGTTTCCATGTAATTTCGTTCGATAATCTCACTGATTTTTGTTTTAGACATTAACTGAAGAAGAACAATGCAGAATAAGCAGAGAAGTATATGATAGGTATGTGAATCTGGGTCAGGTGTACAGTGCAGGCTTTTTCTGCTATTTTTTCTAGCTGCTAGTTTACCCCTTTAAATTTCTTTCTTTAGGATTCTATTCTTGTTCAGTGGGTATAACCAATACCAACCCAAAAGTAACTTCACAGATATTCAACATACTGACAGCAGAATGTTTTAAAATGACAATAGTTACAAATATATAGAAAATCTGAAAAATAATATGCAAGAGTGACTACTATTGCTCTGGAAGGATTGTAAGGTATGAGTGACTCTTTTCCATTTCCAGAATAAAATATTATTGCGCCGCAGTTTCAGCATGCACAAACAAAACAGCTACGCTAATCTAAATCATTGCTTGGGTATTCATAAGGATTTCCACCGATTTAATGAATTTAGTTTAGACATCGCTGACATCAAGAAATCAGAAAAAGTAGTGAGCACTTAGCAGCAGAAGTTGATGACTTAAAAGTCTGTAAGTAAGGATTAACATACCTCATTTTAAGTGAGAATAGATAACCAAGCTGGGATAAAATGGAGAGTTTTTTAGTGCTTAGCATTTACTAACACCCCATCATTTTTATACTTGACACCTAGAGTTCTTTATTCTGTGCCTTAGATTTATCTATTTCTTAATTGTTCTCTGCTCCACAGGGTCTCCAGTGAATCCGCAAATAATTGAAAGCATTTATCTCCCCAGTGGTTGGGCTTTAGTCACTGTTGGACTGAAACAGCTCAGTAAACCGATCATCGTGTTCATGTAAAGGTGTCAGATTTTAAGATGAAATGGCACAGCATCCACAAGGCAGCCCTTTCAACTAGTTAATTACTTTAAATCATTTTTATATTGCCGTATTTTGTACGCTAGTGCTACTTATGATAACATGAGCATTACAATCTAACATGGATCTGATATCATGTCATATAGTAATTCTACTTCTGCAGATACAGAGACCATCATTTTAACCCTTTAAATCGCATCACGCAACTAAAATAGATGGACTATTTTGAAAGGTACCATTGCCAATAGATGGCCGTGGCAGAAAATTTTAAAAGAAATGGATAAAATTAAATACTGGCAATCAGAATCATAACTTTGTGGTGGCCTATGTACATTAAGTTTAAATATTATACAACATGTAAAAGTAGAGAATTAGAAAAATACAGAAAAACAATCGTATTTTTATGTGCAATTCTATTTTCAAAGATAGTGTCTTTGAAACACTAGAGTCCTCTCCTCTAGTTGGAGATATCAAAACTTGAAAATATTTGTTTAGTTTATTTTCTCTATGAAATAACAAGAGTTGTAATATTGAAATATATCGTAAATTACAAGTGGATTTGCTAATAATAGTAGGGCACCTAAGCTAGGTAGAATTATTTTATCAGTTTTAACTTTTGAAGGAAATAATGAATTTAGCTAAATTTTCTTACTGATCCTTTAACATATACAATTATTAAGGCGAAGGTAATAAGAAGTCTACATTACAGAAATATCTACTACATTATAAAAACTGGAAACATTGTTTAAAGCCAGAAAATCTACACAAGGAAGATACAATGTCAGTAAATGGAGACAGAAACCAAAATAGGAGATAAACAGAAACATTTTAATTGTTTTATCATAAAACATCTATTACTATATAATCAATAAAAAACAATAAAACATTAGCCATATAATCAAAAAGTTTTTAAAAATTACCCATGATAATCAGAAAGATCAAGGTACAATCCAAAATTTCATCGAATTCAATGAATTGCAAATCATTTAAAATATCACTCATATTTTATTTTTACAATTAAAATTTCCTTATTAGAAATTACAAACATGATATACTTTTATCTATAAGTATAATAGAATAATTTGTGAATAATTTATACAACATAAAGGTTTTTAAAATCACCTAAAATTAGACTACTTATGAGAAATAATAAATGTTTTGGTAAATAGCCAATCATAAATCTCATTATGAGTTATATAAAAACATATAACTTAAGTACATATTATATATGCTCTTCTTTGTTCTATCATGGATATTTATGTTGTGCTTTTTTTCTCCCCTTTTTCTCTCCTCCCAACCTCCCCTTTTTTACCCTTCCAACTTCCTACTCCAAGATAACTGTAAATAGCCTTTCACCCATCATCTATACCACTCCTTAAATATGCATTTAATCACACACACATATATGCTTATATATGTCCATAAGCAATATATATACACACATATACATATATCTACATGTGTGTACATATATACATACAGGTGTATTCACATATATAAGCCATTTTCATCATTTGTATTATAGAAATGATATCACAATATATTTGTCTCCGAATTTTGTTTTTCTCACTTTTGAAACAGACTAAAAACCCTTACACATTTTTTTCTATTAATTGATGCTACTCCACGGGATGCATATGCCACAATTTATCCATTTATTTTCTTTACATTTCTCTTATCTCTCTTTCTTTCCTTCCTTCTTTTTCCTTCCTTCCTTCTTTCCTTCCTTCCTTCCTTCTTCCACTCATTCTGCTTCCTTCTTAATACTAACAACACTACAGCCAATATATTTCTGTATATAATCTGATGTACTGATACATTTTTTCCTTTGGGATACTTCCATAGGACTTGGATTGCTTCATATTATATGTAAGCTTTTAAGATTAGTAGATATGGCCAGACTGATCTTGAAAATGGTTGTAATATTACTTAAGTAAACAATTAATACATAAGAGTGCTGAATCTTAGTACTGTTTAATTTTTGTCAAACTGCTAAGTGCAAATGTTACATTGTAAAGTCATATCTCACTGTTACTTTAATTTTTGTTTGTCCAATTTCTGGACAGTAGAGAGAAACTCACTATATATTTTAGGCCATTTTATTTAATCTTTTCTGAGTTTTCTATCTATACCATTTTCCTTTGGCTTCATTAGAATTACGAATTGTAAAAATCTTTTGAACATTATAGATATCAATCTTTTAAATGCACATAATCACTTTCTCAAACCATTATGAATTCTCACTTTTTATAGTAAGAACACATAAAATACTTTCACAATCAGAAACACTTGACATATGCATAGACATGCCTTTTATATTTTAGCTTTTAGATTTACTGTCTCAAAGTTCTTTCTAAATCCTAGGTGATAAAATAGATTATTATATATTTAATTCTGATCTAAAACACTAATTATAGACAAAGATTGTCAGAATACAAAAATAAAACAAGACCCAACTATATGTTGTCCACAAAAAATCACTTTAAATATAAAAACAGAGCTAGGTTAAGAATAAAGAAGTGGAAAAAGATATGCCATGTTAACAACTGATAAAAAGAAATTGGGGACCAATATATCAATATCAGAAAAAGCAGACTTCAAGATAAGGAAAATTACCAGGGATAAAGACGGGCATTACATAATGATGAAGGAGTCAAATCTCCAAAAGTATTGTATGTGTATGCACCTAATAACAAGGCATTAAAATACTTGGTGCAAATATTTATAGGACCACAATGAAAAACAGACAAATTCATCATAATAGTTAGAGTTTTTAATGTTCCACTCTCAGTAACTGACAGATCCAGCAAGAAGAAAATCAGTAAGAATAAAGACGTGATCAGTACTATCATCAACATGATCTAATGGATATCTATAAAATAGTCTATCCAATAATAGCAGAATATACATTCTTTTCAGGCACACATGGAACATTTACCAATATAGATCACAAATGTACAATACCAATGCAAAATATTAATAATAGGAGAAACTGGGTGTGGAGTTTCTGGAATTTTTTATACTCTATAATTTCTCTGTAAATCTAAAACTATTTTAAAACAAAAATTACATTAAAAATGCAGATGAGAATTTTCAGTGTATTTAGAACTGTAATGTTCTAATAAGTACATTATACATGGAAACTCATAACAATGGGTTTTAGATCTCTAAAAATATATAAAAAATTAAGATTTCAAGTTTGTTACATATTTAGAAAGAAATGCAATTAAGTTACAAAATGTATTTTCAATACTAGCATAGATATCTTTTAATTAGCAAAATAGACAGCTTTGAATATATCAAGTGTTGTTTCTAATTATGTAATAAATTTCAATATGTAATATATGATTTAATTATATATGAAATAAACACTCAGAAAATATTTTGGTACCTGTTACAGTTTGTTTGATCCCTCCAATTCTCATGTTGAAATATGATCTCTAATATTGGAGGTGGGGCCTAATGGGAGAGTTTGGGTCATGGAGCCATATTCCTCCTGAATGCCTTGGTGCCTTTCTTGTAGTAGTGAGTGAATTCTCTAATAGTTACCACTAGAGCTGGTTGTTTAAAAGAGCCTGACGCCTCCCCTATATCCCCTATATCTTGCTTCTTCTCTCATCATGTGATCTCTGCATGCACCACCTTCCCTCTCCTTCTGCCATGAGTGGAAGCAGCCTGAAACCCTCACAAAAAGCAGATGTTGGCACTATGCCTCTTGTACAGCCTGCAGAACCATGAGCCAACTAAACCTCTTTTCTTTATAAGTTACCGAGCTGCAGGTATTCCTTTATAGCAACACAAAGGAACTAAGCAGTATCTCTATTATGTTGTTAACAGTAACACAAAGGGTCTAAGAGGTACCTGTATTATGTTTCTTAATTATGTTGGTGCTTGTCTTAATAGTAGATTTTAAAGACTAATATCAATGTTTATATATAGTCAAAGGCAGTTTCATGACTATCAAATGCTATGATAAAGAATTATGAAGGGCCTAATATTAACTATTAAAAAGCATTCAAGAATAATAAAAAATCTGCACAAAATGCCACTTAACATTTCAAGTTATTGTTTATTGCAATTCATTAACAAACCAGTCAATATACAAACTTATATAATGGCAATATAATTATTTCATGACAGAAGTCAGTGGTCTCCTGTTGACAAATGACTACATCATTGCAACATGTCCTTACCACTATGTTTAAGGTAGTATGTGGCTTAAAGTTTACCTGATTTAAATGTGAAGAGCTTTCTGTAAAGTTCACACTCCTTCATGTAGAAATCACAGTTTAGTATTACTCTTCCATGAAAATAATATAACATTCAGGAATATGAGGCAATGTGCCATCTTCTAGTACAATGTAAGTCTTCTTAGACTACTTCAGAGTATCTGAATTATTGAAGAATTTCAATCTTTGTATGTTTTTACAAGCCAGTACAAGAATTAATTTTTCCATAGACTAGACATGTATTATTCTTATACCTAGATTATTATTATACCTAGAGTGTAACCAAACCAGTGAAAGTAATTAAAATGCTTTTTTCTGAATCCGATAAATACACATTATATATTGTGTTCAGGCATTGCTTTACTTTTTGTCATTTATCTTTTATAAACAAAACCGTTGGCTGTTTGAAAATTTACAAATTGTTTTGCTGTGTAAAATATAAAGAAACCATCAAGTTTCAAGCCCTTATTTCATATTATATATTCATTACCTATTTGAGATTATTTAATTTCTATAGATACAGACTAATCAGTTTTAAATGGATTCTCACAGAACTGAGTTTTACCCTTATTATGTTTACAGCACTCTATCTTGTACTACAGTTACTTGTGAGTTTTATATCTCTAGGCAGGGTGTTTTTATGCACTTTGGTATCTTTCCCCAAAACACAGCATCTTCACATTGTAGGTGTTCAACAATCATACAAACTTTTGTATCTCTCTTCTCTTCTGCTCTCCCTTACCCTCCCCTCCCCTCCTCTCCTCTCCCTTCCTCTCTTCTTCTCTCTTCTTCCCTCTGTCCCTTTTCTTCTGCGAATAAAATGGAAGGCTTATAGGCTGTGGAAGTCTTATAGGTGTGTCATAGAATACTGACCTCAGTTTTGGGGATAAACAGATGATGATTGGAGCTTCCAGAAACTTTTTGGCCAGTCAAATCTATATTAAAGTAGAATTATCCATGTCTTCTCTAAGGGAGATTCAGATGAATTGGAGTCATTATCTACTGTCTCACAGGCAGTTAGCACATTGAAGGATAATTAGCACTCACTGCTCATCTGCAAGGCCCAGAGGACAACCACAAAAGTGATCCACTACATGGCTGGATCCACCACATAGCCAGCTGCAGAACATTGCCCATTACAGAAGAGGCCTATGAAACTTTTAAGAATTCTTCTAGATGCCTGTGGAGCTTGTAACTCAGCCCAAGGCACTATCAACTGAGGGTCAGAGGACAGGGAAGTTGAGTGGGTTTCCTAACAGGTGACTCTTCAATTGATCACCCCCAAATTTTATCTTCAGATACTCTGTCCCTTTGCAATTGATGTGCTTTGCAATAGCTTCACTTTGGCGGTGAGGTCACTCTTCCAACAATGCATGTGAGTTGTGTAAATCAAGACTCATTATTCTTTTAATACTCAACACGAGAAACTTTTATTACAGCCAAGATCTGTACCCATTGTTATAAGAAATTTCAATTTAAAGTTGTCAATTAAAAAGACAAATTGTTTAATAATCTCAACTCTAGAAAAGTGGTAAATAATTATACGAATCAGTTGACATTTTTATTACTAACTTCTGTAAACAGAGTTTTTCACAAATGAAAACTAACAAAAGTGTGGAGAAGTTAGCAAATAAAAAGTCATGAAGAATTCAATTTAGCCATTTGAAACATAAAACCTGATTTAAAGAAAAATAGAAGCAAAAATATATGCACAGGAAGCTCAAATTTCTTCTTAAAAACTGAAACAATTATTTTGACATTTGATACAAATTCATAACTCGGTATTTTCCTTATAATTTGCAGTTAGTTATTTTTATTTTTATTGTTTAATACTTCAAACACTTATATATCTATATCCAAGCCTGATATCGATGTCTTCAAGTACATTTCAATTTTAATTTCAACACCTCATGCCATAATCTGGAAAAGGTGAAAGGCCCTACTTCAGAAAGACAGGCTCTATCCCAGATGTTGCATGAGCTCTGAAGGAGCTTCCCCTCTTACCAGTTAAATGAATATAAACTGAAATGTCTTCAGCAGAGTATGAGGCTAGCACCTGGGTGCTATAGAAATGCAGAATACTAAGTAATTGCATTTAGCTGGAGAATCACAGCAAAAGTGAATACAAGAAGAAAAAAATGAGGGGGAATAAACATACAAAAAGAGAAGATAAAAGTTATTTTTCAGATAGAGAGAATGGTATGTTCAAAAATATAGGAGCAAGACATTTTTACTGAGTTTCATGCTGTCATCTCATTTCCTCTCAACTCACTACAACTAGATTTTATCACTCACTGATAAGCTTAAACTGCTTTTGGAACTTCATCAATAGCTTTTTATGATGAATGACCAATTTTCTGACTGTGTTACGTGTGATCTCTGTAGCATTTGGCACAGTTATCATTTTCTCTTCTGGATACTCTATTTTCACCTGAAGTCCCTGACATCATTTTCTCCTGGCTGTCTGCTTAGTCTGATTTCTCTTTAAGGTGGGCTTCTTCCTTTTGCCCACCCTAGTCCTCTGGAAAAAGTCCTAGGTCATTTTATTTTCCTATCCAACACCCTTTCCCTGAATTTCCTGTCCCTTCCATCTGGTAAGTGACCGCAGGTAGTCTGATCTGTCCCAGATTTACACATCTGGTCCACATCTCTTAGCTGAGCCTTGGATTCAAATGTTCTATTGCCAATAAGATGTATCAATTATGTATCTATCAAAGTAACGAATGAATCACAAAATTAACTGGTTTCTTACCCCCAACATTTTCATTTTATTATGTCTACATTGCATCAAAAACTCATTAGCCCATTCACCAAAGCTGGAAACCCAGCAGCCATCTTTTCTCTTGATCTCTAAATCCCACACCTAGTCATTTCATGCAGTCCTACCACTGCTCTCTCTGAAATCCATCTACTACTATGTGCCACTGCTTTATCAAATTATGAGAAAAACACAGTTTACGAAGTTTTAATATGCAGATTTACATTTTGGGGTAAGACCCCTGGTCCCTATGTTAGCCTTCCATATGTCCATCCATCATACATGAGTTTTTCATAAAAATAGTGGGATTCATACAATCTAAAAGGGTTAATAAGGATGCCTTAAATCATTGCTTTCAGCTTTTCTGGGCCGTTACATACTACAAGATGCTTTCAAAATGGTAAATTTCATAAACACAGGTCTTTAAATTCTAGATATTTGCCATTATTTGCAATAAGAAGCGGACTGACTATAAAAACCATATGACAACACTGAGGTTTGTTATTAATCTAAGGCAAATTACTTGAAAGAACTGGCAAGCTTAAGAAAAAGACAGTGTTCTGCATATGCTGACTCGTTAGGGAAAGTCATTGTCAGTAAGGTGTTATATAACAAAATTATGTATACATGTATATATTTTTGAAGCAGTTGTGTAGAAACAAATACTTTGTCCCTTTAAAGTATAGATGACATTTTAGCCATTGAGAAAATAACTGCTTTTTGGTAAAAACAATTCATATTATAAAAAAAGTCATTCTGAAAATGGATACTTGGGAGTTTATCTATCATCATGTGGTTTTGTTGCTGACAAAAATGTACATGTATCTCCTAGGAAACAAGTCCACTTAGTTGAAAAACTCAGGAATATAGTCTTCAAATAAACAGTTCCTGTATATTTTAAACCTATTACTAAAATAAGACTTTTGATAAGATCACAAGAGTAATTGAATGAAAATTTCAACACATCAGCTTTTAGCAATTAGTGTATAGGATTGAAAAATAAATGTGGTGACAAGGTAAACACAACACAGTAAACTTGTTCTAGTTGGATTTATATGTTTTTATGGTGTATTTTTCAACTTTGATAGCCATTAAAACCAGTACAAAACAAACTGAAATTATAACCCCATCTTCAAATATCTGTAGCATAAAATATTAAAGCAAAATTTCAGAATGAATAGAGTACATTTGATCACATTGCTCTCACAAAAACATCAATAAATAAAATATACAATAATATAAAGCATATAATCTTATTAGACTTTATTAAAGATTATGAAAACAATTAACACGAGACTAAGACATTTATCAAGTAAAATTCACTTAAAATACCTGTATTTTCTACATTTCAATTTTTATATTTGCATGATCTTATCTTCAAATACATTGTGTTGAAGTGCAAATATATATATATATAAAACATATATAGATGTAATTTATAAATACTGCTAAATATATATTGGGACATATGCTTATTTTATTTTACTATTGCAAAGGTGCAGTTAAGAATTTTGATACTACTATGCAATGTTCAACGTCCTTCATAAGATTGAGGTATACACAGATGCCTTGTGTTTTCTATGCCTATAATCTGTCTCACCCCAGTTCTAGCTTACTCTATGCATCTAGAATGAAAACTCTGCAAATGCCCAGAAAGTCTACCAGTAGAAAACATACAACCCCGCTTCAGTGCCTTTTCATAGCCTGTCTGATACTCAATTTTTCTGTCCATTTGATATGTTCCTTCTCTGCCCATGTTACCAGGGATTTTGCTTATTTGATATGGATTCTACCTCCAAGCAAGACAATCTGCATGCTTTTATACTTGTTCTAGAAGCATTTTAATTTGTTTGGTTTTGGGTTTTGTACATTTTCTTTTCTTTTTTCTTTTGAGATAGAGTCTCGCTCTGTCACCCAGGCTGTAGTACAATGGTGCCATCTCCGCCTACTGCAACCTCTGCCTCCTGGGTTCAAATGATTCTCCTGCCTCAGCCTCCCAAGTAGCTGGAACTACAGGTGCACACCACCACACCTGGCTAATTTTGTATTTTTAGTAGAGACAGGGTTTCACCATGTTGGCCAGGCTGGTCTCAAACTCCTGACCTCAGGTGATCCTCCCACCTCAGCCTCTCAAAGTGCTGAGATTACAGGCATGAGCCACCACTCCCGGCCCTACACATTTTATTTTCTCCAATTGCAAAGCAAACTTCACCCACTTTTCTCCATCAATCCATGAAACTTAATATTTCATTTGAAAGTAATCTCCCTTATTACATACTTAATATTTATTTTCTTAGGGTAGGCTTCATGTTCACTTTTTTGTGATTTTATTAAAATATATCTCAAGTAATATTTTACATTTGTACCATACGATCAAATATTTTACTTATGTGCAATATCTATCCCTACCCACAAAATTCCTATGAGGAATCTAGTTATCAATTTCATCTGTAGCTGCATCCCACCCACTATTTCAGAACAGTGAGAGATTAGTAGATATTATCAATCTATAATAACAATACATAAAAGCATAACCAATTTGATTTAGTATACATGCACAACAGATTACAATTTATTGGCTTTAAAAAGTCTGTATTTATCACTTATTGTGATGATTTTAAAGGATATATTAAACCATCAATATCAAAATGACCACAATAATAGCAACAATAAATTTTAGTTTGAATGATATTGTCTGGGATAAAAGTATGCAAAAGAAAATAAAAATCACCCAGAATTCTACAATCTCTAGAGAACCACGAATAATGCTTTCTCTAATATGCATGTGGCTTTATATGCAGAATAATATCATATTTCATGTAATTTTAAAATATGCTTTCTTACTAACACTATATTTTTTATTTCTTCCAGAACGAAAGTATTGAACAAATATTCAGATTTCAATGGTATATTTAGAGACAGTAGTATTCAGTACTTTTATAAATGCCTTATCTATAATCTCTACATTAGACTTCTAGGAAAACACACATTGCATGAGAGTTTCTGAAGGGTCAGGAAAGCAGAGAGGTTTGTGAGCAAAACCGTCTTGAAAGTGAGGTCATTATGGCTCCATGTTATTTCTGTTAAAAATGCTATGCAAAATATATTCAGTCACAGCCAAGGATATTTTCAAGGGAAGGTAGTAGGATAAGGTGTGACTAAATATATACAACTCAATCTCCTCAGGTGCTAGAAAAGAAATGGGGGAAAGGAATCAGAAAACAGGAGAGAGAATGTTCAGTACACAACTTAAACTCAACAAACTGAGATGAATATGATGAATAATAGGAACTTGGAGATGGAGGTGTGACTCTAGTGTAAATCAGTTTGAATTGTTTTAAGAACCAAGATGGTTATATAACTAGAGTGTCCACCTTTATTTTCTTTATTTAATATTTTACCCTTCCCAACAAAGTAAATATTTCCATATGAAATAAATAAATTTCCTTCCTTCGTCCCTCCCTGCCTCCCTCCCTCCCTCCCTCCCTCCATCCATCCCTTCCTTCCTTCCTTCCTTTTTCGAGATACAGTCTTGCTTTGTTGCCCAGGCTGGAGTGCTGTGGCGTGATCTCTACTCATTGCAACCTCTTCCTCCCAGGTTCAACTGAATCTCCTGCCTCAACCTCCTGAGTAGCTAGGATTACAGGCACCCACCACCACGCCAGCTGATTTTTGTATTTTTAGCAGTGACAGGGTTTTACCATTTTGGCCAGGCTGTTCTCGAACTCCTGACCTCAAGTGATATGACTGTCTTGGCCTTCCAAAGTGCTGGGATTACAGGTGTAAGCCACCGCACCCGGCCTAAAGAATTAAATACTATTTATCTAACTTTGTTACCATGGCATTGTGTTAATTGTCTCAGTAGTTACTGATATTTCTACAAAACTGTAAAAGTACATATTTTTTCCTTCCTAAATGTTGTATAAGCTTCAGCTTAAATCAGAGCCAAAGCAAAGATAACTGGTACAAACCAAACTCTTAGCTTTTCTCATACATATATATGAGAAATGTATAGTCCAAAAAGCACAGGCTCTATGCCAAAAAGATGTTGTTTTGAATTCTGCTGCACCATTGCTAGCTGAGTGACACTGGGCTGGTTACTTCATCCCTCAGAGCTTTAATTTTCTCATCTCTAAAACAAGGCAAATGCTATCTCAATTGAAAGATTGTTTTAGGAACTAAAAATTGCATTATTATATCATAGTAGTTGCTTAATAAAAGACAATTATAATCACTACTGTTATATTGTACAAAGTAAAATTACATTTAAAAATACTGAATATGTATTTTGTGAATGTGTCCAGTGCAGATGTTTAAATTGGAAAACATAATTTAATATTCACTTTACAAAATCTGAGATATCATTTAAAAGAATTTGATTATCCAAATAATTTTATTAATTTTCCATCAACTGCCTGAATATGAATCACGTTAACAAAATGACCTGTGACTCATTAGGATAAATACTGTTAACAAGGAGGAAAATGTATAGCTCAAAGCTTCATTTTGTGTCTTTTGTCAATTTATGTAGCAAAATACGTATTAATGTCTGCTCTATGCCAGGCTTTTCAGAATCTGGCTTTTTTTTTTTTTTTTTTTCTTGAGACACAGTCTCGCTCTGCCGCCCAGGCTGGAGTGCAGTGGCAGGATCTCTGCTCACTGCAAGCTCCGCCTCCTGGGTTCACGCCATTCTCCTGCCTCTGCCTCCAGAGCTGCTGGGACTACAGGCGCCCGCCACCACGCCTGGCTAATTTTTGTATTTTTAGTGGAGACGGGGGGTTTCACTGCGTTAGCCGGGATGGTCTGGATCTCCTGACCTCGTGATCCGCCCGCCTCGGCCTCCCAAAGTGCTGGGATTACAGGCGTGAGCCACCGCGCGGGGCGCCAGAATCTGGCTTTAATCAAACTCCTGAGCCTGATTGGCTACTAATCCCCATCATGATTCCTACCTTTGGCTACTCGTTGTTCAACTAATACACAATCACCTCTTCCCTTTGTCTGGAATGCGCCTCTGTTTCTTAGCTCATGAAAACCTTTCAGCCTTTTATAACCCAGTACAAATATTTTCTTTCCCTGATGCTTTAATTGACTATTCCTCTCCTAGAATAGGCATTGAGATGCAGAACCAGCAGTGGGATAGAAGTAGATTCTTGCTTAATATAATATGATTTTTGCCTAGAAAGAGATCACATCAGGTTTCTACCACCAAAGCAGGGTTTACAACATAATTCTTTGTACTCATTTCTATGTGTGTGTTTTTGCATATATGTCTATGTTTGCGATCCTTTACTTGTTGGGAACAAATACCGTGATGAATAAAACACTTTCCGTTCCCTCATGATACTGTGATCCACAGAAAATGTTCTAGAAATATATGGTGAATGGATGAGTGAAGGAGGGAAAGACTGCCAAGTTCTACTCAGTGACCTCTTTCAATTACAGTGACTTGAGAGAAGAATGAGGAACATAAAACAAGAAAAGTAATCTTTTTGGTGTAATGAGGATTCTGTAGTCCTGGAAGAGAGATAATTTATCAGCATTAAAGTCACGCACAATGTCAATCAGTTTCATGGAGAGACCATGTGAGGTAGACAGATGACAAAAGATTAATCAAGCAACTGCTATAGGGCAAGATTAGTGTGCTGATTTCATGCAAGGTTGACAGATAGATAAAAAGGTAAAGCAATATATTCTGTGAGGCACTAGGGTATTGTTCCTATTGCTGGAAAGTGACAGCAGCAAAATATATGAAAACTGGAAAGTATCAGCTTAACTGGAGAAAAATATATAGGCACTGAAAAAAACTAGGTTTTGCAAAGAAATCATTAAACTAGTAAATACACAAATAAATTTATTAAATTGTTGGTAGTCATTTGAATAATGTACTCACTTCTTTTAGGACAGAATATCACAAAAAGTGCCATATATTTATATTAATGTTTGTGAAATTTGATGTTTCCTAGGAATACAGATAACTAACAATAATAGACATGGGTTTTCAGTAATCACCAGTAGCTGAAAACAAAAATATAGTACCAAAAATTCAATTGTTTTTGGAGAACTTAAGTTTAGGTTTAATATAATAGATAAATGTATTTAACTTGGCTGTGGGAACTAGGTTTCTTAATGTTGGAGAAGTAAGGTACGGATAAGCAAGAAGGGAGATTAGAATGAATGCTGTAGTACTGAATTTTAGTTGCGAACATCGGTAACAACTCATTTTTAACTTAATACATAGATAGATGGATAGAGAAACAATTATAGGTATGTACACCAACACGGGTTATACATGTATAACCAAGCACTGTCCTATGTGAGAGTCTGGAAGCAATGACAACTCAGTAACAGTTAGCAACCCCATTGCTAGATCTTGGTTTTTAAATACCAATCTGCAATGAAAAGAATCAGGACTCCTTATTGAAAAGGCTCATACTAAGGCTAGGGCAAGGAATATAAAAGGTAATGTACAGACAGCTTCCTATAGTGACAATAAGGCTGGAAATGTTCAGAAAACAAAAGGATGGACATATATCAATAGCTCCTAATGTCCAAAGCTGGACCAACTTGAACAGCACAATAAATAACAAATAGCATAGTATCAGACTATATAACCCAAAGTATAAAATAAACCTAAATTATCATCAATGATAGACTGGATAAAGAAAATGTGATACATATACACCATGGAATACTATGCAGCCATAAAAAAGAACAAGAACATGTCTGTAGCAGGAACATGGATGGAGTTGGAGACCATGATCCTTAGCAAACTGACACAGGAACAGTAAACCAAGTGATGAGAACACATAGACACACAGAGAGGAACAACACACACTGGGGCCTTTTGGAGGGTGGAGGGTGTGAGAAGGGAGAGGATCAGGAAAAATAACTAATGGGTAGTAGGCTTAATATCTGGGTGATAAAATGATCTGTACAACAAACCCCCATGACTCAAGTTTACCTATGTAACAAACCTGCACATGTATCCCTGTGCTTAAATGTTAAAAAATAATATAAACACATAAATATACATGTGTCCACACTGATTTAAATTAATGACTACGTTTTTTCAAAATGGGAGAGAAGAGACGATGCTTCAATACAAAAATTTCAAGTAATTTATGTAGATACTCTCCCCTCGTGGAGAGTAGGATATAGTTAGTTACTCACTTCCAAGGAATACAGTATGGAATAAAAACAAACAAACAAACAGTTAATTTAGAGTGGATAAAATGTGCAAAAACACTTTAACCAACTGATGAAGGTTAATGTCACCAGTGACGTCAGGGGATATCATGGATTCCATTGTATGATGTGTTGAGAAGAGCATTTCACCTGTATGGTACTCTTTTCTGAAAATCCATAACCCCAGTCTGATCCTGAGAAAAGTATCAGGCAAATCCCAATTGAGAGACATTCTGCAAACACCTATCCAGTACTTATCAAGCTGTTGATGTCATATGAAAAACGAAGATGAAACTGTCACAAAACAGAACAAGGAGCTATGACAACTAAATATAATGAGGTGTCCGGAGCTAGATCCTGGCACAGAAAAATACTCTAATGGAAAAACTGATATAACTGTAAATAAAGTCTGGTGTTTAATTAACAGTGACATACCTGTGTCAGTTTCTTATTTTTGACAAAGGTACCAGAGTAATGTAAGATGATAACATTAAGGAAAACTGAAATTGGATGAAGGGTACAGGGGAACTCTCCGTAGTTAATTAGAAACACTTATGTAAATAAAATTATTCCAAATGAAAGGTTTATTATTAAAAATATGGGTTGGTTTCCTAGCATCAGATTTCTGATCTAAAGTACAAATCTGGTCATTTTGCCCCCTTGCTTATAACCGTTCATTGTTTCTCTGTCTCTATGAGACGAAGACAATGCTTCTGAGTGAGATGGTGCCGAGCCATCTCTTGCTTTGCTTTCCAGCCGCACTTCCACTACTTCCCCTCATATAACCTGAAGTCTAGTTTTACCAAGCTTTTAGCAGTGTCTAGAAAGACATAATTTTTCTCCACTTGATAATCCCTACAAACACATAGCAACTCAGTTCAATTTTATTTTTCTCTCTGTGAGTTCTCCCTGAATTCCCTCAAAGTCAGAGTTAGACACTCTATTTTGCTCACATGGCACTCTGCACCTCACTCTATAAGAGCCTTTATCACATTTTGGGGGGCAACTCATTATTGACAAGAGTTGCCAGTTATGTGCCAGAACTGTGTTGAAAGTTTACTTATATCCTGTCAGAAAAGAAATGTTAGGTAATATATCCAAGTCAATACAGCTAAGAAATTGAGGGCCTGTAATCTGAAACCAGTTACTAATTATTAGTCTGAAAGCCTGAGGTCTTTCAGGTAGAACACACTACCTTTCTGAATGCTAGGATTCTTGTAGTTTACTTTTCAGCTCCCAGACCCCTCGTCACTCCTTAAACTCATTAACACAGCAGGTTTTAATAAAGACAGCCCAGTCTCTGAAATCAGACAACTTGAGTCCCATCCTTAGTTATGGTTTCATCACTTACCAAGAATATAATCTTGAGAAAGAATCTAAATCTTTAGTTGGGTTACCTAACAAATGCAAGGATACCTAAAATTTTCTGTAGATCAGGTAATATATGTATGGCTTCAGCACAATACCTTGCACATTAGTGAGCATTCATAAACATTAAGAGTCTTCTAAGAATATCAGGGATTTTGTTTTGTTCAACTTTATATCTCAAACACTTGGAGAATAAATACACATCATAGGTGCTTAATATATAACTATTTGACATATATGTACATCTATATACATGTATATACGTATATAATATATGTATATATGATATTTCTATGTATCATACAGAGAAAATATATTTGATACATACATTTATAAATATATGTGTATATAATACAGATAAAGAGAGTTTAGGTTTAGAAAGTAAAATAGAGGTTTTAACTACTTGGGAAAATAGAAATTAAAAACAACTGGATTACTATTTTGGAAAAATATAGTTGTGTCATCTGTGGTTATATTAGTCCAGGTGTTATCATGACAGTTAAGTGGGGAAAAAAAACTTGTCCTGCATCTATATCAATGATGCTATTACATCATATGAAAACTGAAATCTTTCAATTTTGAGAAGAATTAAAGTTAATAATTGCCTCTGGATCAGGAAGAGCTTCACTAGTTACCCAAGCAAGTGATGAGTTTAACAGTTTGGTGGATTTTGAAATTTTAATTTAACTTGAATTTTATGTGTCATACTCTATTATCCTTTTTCAAGAGAAAACAGAATGCTATTATTCACAGCCTTGTTTTTTAACACAGAAAAATAAAAAAAGGAAAAATGCTTCAAATTTCACTTGACTTGCAAGACTAAAACTTCACAAACTAAAATGACAAATGTATGATTTGTAAAATACAGTTACAATTAGGTTTTTTTTTTCATAACAATCTGTGGTGAAATGTAACGGGAAAGCAGACACTTATTTTAAAGATGCAATTTTAAAAATAAAATTCAAAACTTAGGAAATAGAAAAGCACTCAAGTTTTAGCAGGGATTTTAAAATGTCATCTACAAACTACAAATACAGGTAATCAGTGACACCAAATAAAGTATTTTGAAAGAGTTAAGGTAATGTATATTTCAAAAAGCCGTTACCAGGCTTTCTGTAAGTCCCTTGCAAGAATTCCACTTTAAGCATTGTAGTCTCAAATATTATATCAGGCAAACCTAGGCATTTGCTATATTCTTTTTAAAAATTTAATGGCAGACATCACCCTAGGTTCCCTAACGTTTAAGGAGAACCTCTCCTTCTAATGATTCTCTCACACAGCTTATTGGAACAGGAGATTGTATTTACTAACTAGATCAGGAAATCTCAAACCATACAGAGGAAATCAGAAACCGGTCACTCACGGCTACCACAGTGACTGCTTCTGAGTGTGGTTCAAGCTCAGTCCAGGACAGGCAGATGAAAGGACAATCTTAAAGGTGACTCTGGAGAGCAAGTGAGACTGTAACCCCAAAACTTTCTAGGATAATTCATTTTCACTTCTACCCAGTCAAAACAACTATTGACATCATCACTGAAGTGCTTAAGTCTACCTGGAGGTGGCGTGGAGCAGAGTGAGCATTCCAGAGTCCCAGACAAGAGGAGATGTGCACGAAACACTATCTTCCTGTCAGACACCTGTGCCCACTGCCCCAAGCACTGCCCCTCTGGTCCTTCATCAGCCTTTGCGCTGTGTCCCTCCTGCTCCTGCAATGGGCCACAGCACAGAAGGAAAGAGTCCTCCGGAATGGGTGACTGTATAGAAAGCAATCGAATCTTTAATCACTTTTCCTACTTTACACTTCACGCAGTTCTTATTCCTATCCCTGCTTCATGCCTTTCCAAGAGAATGTTAGAGGCCTCTTTCAATTTTCATTTCTCAGTCTTTTCCCCATCCCGTTCAGTACCCTAAACTTCGTCAGTTATTTAAAATAACCTTTTACCCCCTCCTCCCCTTCCCAGGATGTTTCAACTTCTCTGGCTCTCTTCCCCATCCTTACCTCCTCCAATTCTTTCATCCTGGTCCTGGCCTCTTAAACCCGCCAGGGGCTGCCCTTTGCCTGTCTTTTCTCCTCCCATCCCTCTCTGAACCCTTTCACCTCATCCATTCCCTTGTCAGGCTCTCCAGATTCCCGGGCTGTTTGCTGGTGAGAAATCTTTGCTGCAGCGAGGACCGGAGTCCCCCGCGCGCAGCCCAGTGGCAGAAGAGGGCTAGGCTGAGAGGGAAGCCAGGACTGTAGGAGAGGGAGGCAGCCCGTCCTCCTCACGAACCTGCAAGGATGCGGCAGGGGCCTGGGGGCATGGGGAGGTACTAACCCCCCGGAGCCCCCGATTGGGGCTTGCAGACCTGGCCCGTGGGCGGATTTTCTGCCTAGCGCAGCCGAGAAGCAGAGGTGCCAGGAAAACCAAGAGAGGGGCGCTGGGGGTGCCCATCCCCAGAGTCGGTCCCTCTGCGAACCGAGGAAGAAAAGAGGAGGGAGTCAGCGAGTGGTCAGAAGGGAAAACCTGACACCAGACTGGCTCCGGAGCGTCCGGGAGACTGGGGCGCTCCGGTGAGCACCCAGGGGGTGAAGCCAGCCGAGCGGTGGGCGAGGGGCGTGCGGAGGGAGTGCGCGCTCGAGGAGGGGACGCCAGGAGGGCAGCGATGCTCCGGGCTGGTGCAGGCTTGCTGGGGGATGTCGGCTGATGCGAGCTGGAGAGCGCGTGTGGCGGCCGCGGCGCCAGTGTTTGTGTGTATGTGAGAAAGCAAGGGGCGAGCGCGAGTGCGAGTGAGGCAAAGATAGAGCGCATGTCTCATCCCTGCGAGCAGCCACTAGACGCTCCACCACCATCTTTTGCATGTGCAACATTTGCAGCCGGACAGAAAACCTCTCCCAGGGCTATGGAGACTGCGGGAAAAATCTGGCGGCTCGCGATGGATTGCTAAGGAGAACTAGTCATAATCTTAAACCACCGAAACCTCTTTCCTTTTTTTTCTTTCTTTTCTTTCTTTTCTTTTTTTTTTTTTTTTTTTGGTTGATTTTAATTTTAGCGCCATCGTCTTCAATGCTTCTCTGAACAGCCTTTAGGAAGAGTGCGAGAGAAAGAGAGAGAGCGCGCGCCAGGGAGAGGAGAAAAGAAGATGAGGATTATTTCCAGACAGATTGTCTTGTTATTTTCTGGATTTTGGGGACTCGCCATGGGAGCCTTTCCGAGCAGCGTGCAAATAGGTAAGGTGTGCTCCGATGGGGTGTGCATGTGGCTGGTTGTAGCAGATATCCGAAAGTGAGTTAAATGAGTTGCTGATAAGCAATTCAGGGAAACCTTCAGCAGTTCCCTTCCCCTCTGTTTCCCTCCTCTTCCTTTCTCTCCTTTGCAAAAAGACTTCCTCTTTAGTGCAGGTTCCGTTGGAATACACCCAGGGCAGCCCACCCATGCGTTCTCAGCCCATAGCCCTATTTCCACCTTTACCTATAGTCGCTTAAGTAGGATTGAAATAAGTTGGGGGAAAGTCTTCGGGGAATTTGGTTGTATTTTATATGATATTTATTTCCATCCCTTTCTCTAAAGCATAAAGTGATGTCGAGTTTGTTTAAAAAAGAAAAAAAAAATCCACTTCTTCCCATTCTGGACGCCGCAGCTTTCTTGCTATTACAGAAAGACACTGTTTGAGGAAAAAGACATTTCCACCCGCACGCCCTGCCGTTTCTTGCTACCAGTTAGCAGATTCCAAAGTTAGATCCCTTTCCTGGAAGCTTCTCCCCTTTTATTTTGTTTTCTTCTTGAAGCTTTTGCCCTTATTTCTCTACCTCGACTCTGTTTCCAGGGACACCCTCCATCCTTGGCTTTTCTTGCTATTCTCCTCTACTGTCTTTTAATGGGACGCAGCTATTGAATTTCTTCCAGCTAAGCCCAGCCTCAACACTGCATCATTTCTCGTGGACTGTGCATAAAACGGAGTTAATTAGGCTGAGTCCACGAGCTGGAGGAAAATAAAGTTCATTTCTTCTTTCTGATTTCCCTCTTCCCTGTGTGGCACTATATCCCTTCATTTCCGTATTTTAATGTAAATCTCTTTTCCGCTCATCTGCATGCATCTTAGAGAGAGCTGCCCTGAGGTGGCTGATGTAGCAGTGTGCTGGGAATCAGGGGGAGGGCAAGGGAGAGAAAGGAACATTCACTAAATGGTCTCAGAGGTCATTGTGAGCAAGACACATTAGGACAAGAAAAAGCTGAGCTGCTCTAAAGACTAAATACTAAGCATGCACCTTAGGGACAAAGGGCAGTCTCCCTAGATGTGGCAGGTATAGCTCTTTAATTGTATGTGCTTGTGAATGGCAGTAGATTTGACTGTGCTTGGGGTGGGTATAATGTTGACAAGAGGAAACAGTGAATGTGCTTTTCCTGCTGTTTTTAATAGGTGGTCTCTTCATCCGAAACACAGATCAGGAATACACTGCTTTTCGATTAGCAATTTTTCTTCATAACACCAGCCCCAATGCGTCGGAAGCTCCTTTTAATTTGGTACCTCATGTGGACAACATTGAGACAGCCAACAGTTTTGCTGTAACAAACGCCTGTAAGTAAAACATAAGCTATGAAAAATTAGAAGAGAACTGAAACCAAGCAATGGAGTCCTCTTCCTCTTTGTTATTTAATTTTTTTAGAAAGAATTTCAAGATTCCCACAGTTGCCTGGTTTCAGGACAAATCAGAGTTAAAAACAAGACTTCGTTTCAGGGATATTTAGTTGTTTTTTTTTTCTTTTCCTTAATTTATTTTTCTTTTCTTTCTTCTCCTCCCTCTCTTTGCTTCTTCCTGACTTTCTCTTTTATTCATTATCTGTCTAGATCATTCAAGTTAAATTTTCCTTTAACATTTTAGTGTTATTCCTATCATCCGAATGTCAATTTAGTGAAAATTGTACTCAAGCTAGTTTTTTATTCTTTTCCTTTGGTTTTTCTTATTTGCTTTTCACTTGAGTAAGCATAGGTCTTGCTTTTAAAGAAGAAACATGAAGACTATGGAAGGCTTGCTAATAGTGAGAAAAAGAGGGGAGTGGTGGTGTGGAGGATATATATTTGAGTCGGTTGGTTGACGCTGCAGATGATCTGGTGATGTCACTTGAGGCTGCCCTGCCCTTATATTCTGGGGTGTAAATGTCTCTTACTATCACATAATGCATATATCCTGTGGATATAACTCCATGAATCCTTACCTCGATGCCAAATCACATTAGGCTCCCATCCACCTGAATTCACCAACCAACCCAGCTTTATCTATTATTCCACACAATGAAACTAAACGGGTGACCTCACCTAATGCCGTAAGAAAGCAGTTGTACAATTCCTCCCACTCTCACCAGGACACTGTATAACTTAATGTAAAAAAAAAATACAATCAACTGTGCATGTTAGTTTAAAACACATTGAAACATGATCAGTCAATAGCAGTTGTATTGCTTTTTCCTTCTGGAAGGAAGTGCATGTTTCAAATACCTCCTCACATTTATATGCTAATTTACCACTGTTTTAAATTCATAAATTCAGATAATGACTATAGATTATTTAAGAAGTAGGAATAGTTTCTACATACAATTTTGCATGTTTTCACAGTTAATAAAATGTTCAAGCTGAATTGTAAAGCCTTTTTGTCATATCAAGCTGGGAACATTTTTATTTAAAATTCTTTCAGTACAAGAAAGTGTGCTGAACAAAGAAACAAGTGAAATTGAAAACAGAGTTTTTAAATTTGTCTGGAGGACATCTGTTTCATCAACTTAAATTATTTAATTTGTATGTGTTGGCTGTTAATTCATATAGCAGATAACATGATAAAATTTTCTTAATTTTTGGTGTCTCTTTAACCGTTAATTCTTTTTAGAACTTAGTTTCATGAGGAGCTTGAAGCATATGTCACTTTTGCAAAGTGAATAATTATATTATTTTTCAGGAAGGCTATAGGTTCTATGAGTTACTACTTAATTTTTAAAAATCTCTTGACATATTTGGTGATAAAATCAATATTGCATTAAAGCAAAAGGGTGTTATTTTTATTCAGAAGTGCACATAAATTAGAACAAGGTTTGTGGGTAGTCCTTTTTGTAAAATTTCTCAGTTAATAGTTTTATGTTCCAAGTTTTAAAAGGGATGTCAGCATTCTAAGTAGTTCTAAGGAAAGCATTCTTTTTAATACGTAAATATTATTTGTTTATTTAAATATTTTTCTCATGTCTCTCCTAAGATTCTGTCAATCTTACTACTTTTAAAAATAATCTATGATCCAAATACATGTGAAGGTACTTTATCAATAGTAATTATTTTAACATATTAATTATTATTATTAAATTTTGAAAGATTTCCTTACAAGTGGCAGATATATGTTTTATTTTGTTTCATTTTTACAAAGTAAGATCTTAAATATTCTAAAGTTTGTATTGTGACTTCCAGTAATGTAAACTATATGAGGCTAATCCTCTTTTCCTCCTTTTTGTTTGTTAACCTCATTTGGGATAACTGTAACTAGTATTATTTTATTTATGTAATAAAAATATATGTGAAATAAAGTGTTACTGGTAAAGTACTTGTAAACATGATAAATATTAGCAAGTTGCATACAGAATTAAAAAGTAGAAAAAAATATGAAACGTAGAGTATGTTATTCCTTAACATATAAGGATTGAGAAAATTGACACGAGTAAACTTTAAGTCTGTTTATTTAGAATCCAAGAATAATACAGTATTAGTGATCTAATATTTGTTATAATCACATACAATTGATTTTGCGTATGTTTAAAAATTTTTTAAGAAAACAAATTGTAAATAAGGAGAGAACATTTTCTAGCAGAGAAAAGGAAAGTTATTTTGACAAATGAGCATGCTGAAAATCCTTAAGGCAAATCTAAGCAGAATTTGGGAAAAAATCAATAGTCAAGAGTGTGGGTCAGGTGATTGGTGTTTGTTGAATGGACTGACCGAGAGCATACAGACTCGTGATTTTCCAATCTAATTAAAGGTAAAACGTAAGCAGTAAATATAAGGCAACCTCATTTATCAAGCTCTATGCCTTTGAGTACAAAAGGGTAAAAATAGGTCTTGAAATTTAATATTCTAGATAATTAACATGAAACTTATTCCTCACCATGATACGGACTGGATTTTTAAATTTGTCATGTTAGATTAAATATAAAGACATAATATGTGGCTGGTTAAGTTTATTTTAGTCATGATTTTTCTACAGTGGCTCCTTGTAAAACTGGAGGATCTGATCTGTCTGTGAATAAGGGCCATTAAACAGTATATGTTTAATTATTTTGTGGAATGTATACTCAAAAAAAACACAAAGAATAAAGCGTGTTAGTTATCTAGGGTACAGCTTATTTAATGCTGGTTCATCTGCCTCAAAACTAAATTAGTGCTCTAAGAATACTATGGTAACATAAACTATTCTGTGTATAGAGTTTACATGCTCATAAGTCTAAACCTGATTAACTTAAACTTATAATTTTTGGTATAAATCCCACATTCCTGAGGAAGGAACAATTTTGGCTTATAGTTTATTCCAACCATTCTATTGTTGGAAAGTCACACTTTGATGAATATTAAACTAAAATTATATGAAATACAGATAATACAAAATTATGACCTATTACAATAACAAAAAAAGTGAGTGTAATAGCCCTTGTAGTCAAATTTCAAAATGTAATTACAAGTATACATTTTTTTGTGAGGTATCCAAAATATGAAGTATGACGGAATGGACATTTAAAAAATAAATTTAATATAGGCAACTTTCTTTAATTAAAATGTCATATTGTTGTATCACAGGTAGATAACAGAATAGTTATCTTTGCAAACAAAAATGCTAGTTTAATTGGATATGTCCATCACAAAACATTTGAGATAACCCAAAAGCTGGCTGTTTTCTCATATTTTTTCAATAGTTAATGGATAGAGATATTTTGATTTGGAGGATGAGATATGTTCAGTTTGACCAAGAGTAATAACAAAAATACTAAATTAGTCCATCTCCAAATTTTGCAAAAGATAAATATATTTTAGTCATTTTGATTGTTAGTTTAATTCAGCTACATTAGAAATCCTGTAAAAGAATCAGCCCTTTAAAAAGGCAGTCCCTGTCCAATATAATCCATAAATATTCAGATTCTGAAATGAGTCATTTAAATCTCAGATGGCAATAAGAAGTACTAATAGAATGGATCAAGTACTCATGTATTATCGTCTTGGTGAAATAATAATAGAATTTTATAGACTGTTTAAAACTTTTTAAACTTTGATAGAAAGGACTAATTGATTAATATTTTTCTTATTTTAAAGTGATTTTTTTATCTTGTTCTCTTTTTCTAGCTAGAATCATTTTATTCAATTGTTTACAAGATAATGGATTGAAAAGCTGTAAAAATCACAAATAGAATCAATATTATGCCCTAGTAATGATGAAAAAGTTTCTTTTTTAAGTTAAATATTAATTCTGTGTGGCTGATTTATTTGTGGACTCTAAGTATCCAAAATGAGCAGTACTTTACAAAGTACTTGTAAAAGTATACGTAAAATAGAGTTGTTTAGTTAATTTAAATACATTGAAAATATGACACTAAACCTAGTAGGCTCTGCAGGATTTTCCACTTATAAAGTAGGTACTTAATAAAAACTCACTGAATTTAAGTGTACTAAATAATATAATATTTTTTTGTTTAATTCAACTATGTTTAAATATTTTTGCACGTTTTCTTTTCCAGGATCATGAAGCCCTAAAAAGGCATTCTAAGAGTTTACACTGGACTAATATAATAATCTTAAACATGCTAAAGATAAAATTCTGATGATTTGACTTGCAAAGTTGTTAGTAAAGAAATACTAGAATTAAATACTATTTGACTTTTGCCTATATTTAGGAAAATGAGTGATGTGACTCAACTGTGACTCTCATTAGCTTTTCTTATTTTGAATTGGTAGCAAGCTTCTAAGTTGATTTCAGATAATTCTTTAGTTTTATATTTTTTCTCTCTTACCTTAATTTTTCATCCTGAGATTGAGAAAGATATGAGTCATATTCTTATAGTTTTTCTCTTTCTTAAGTGATAGGATGATGCATAATTTGTATATATTTGATGTATTTTAGAGTTGTCGTAGGATTAAGCTTTCATAAAGCTGTCAAAAAAACTCCTAATTTTTTTTCAATCTGGAAAGTGTTATTTTTCAAGGAGGAAATATTTTACATCCTGGCATTGGGAAATATATATATATACATATGATTATATATATAAAATCTTATTAGAGCAATATTATTATTCTGGATTTTAAAATGAAGGATAAATAATAATACACCTTACACTTTATGACAACCATATATTTTTTAAAACTATATATGTGTGTGTGTATATATATTTATATATCTTTTCATATATATATATGATTTTATTTAACCTCAAGCTAATCTTACAGTGAGACAGTCTAAAAAGAAAGTAATTATGTTCTAGATAAGACAGCTTCGGTACAAAGGAGTTACTTTACTTTCTTCCAAAGACTATCTAGTAATAGACTACAAAGCCAGAGCTTGAACTAATTCTTATACCTACTATCCTAGTGCTTTTACCGGAAGGCCATAAGGGTGTGAAAAAGATAACATCTATATTGAGCCTGCCTGAATTAAGAAAGAAAAAGGAATTGCCATTTATCATTTCTCTAATTTAATTGCAAAATTTTGAAGAAAACAGGGCAAGACAGTTCTGGGCAACTTATTCATGAATCATATGACAGTGAATGATACAGCAAAGGCTGAAGTCATATTATGTAATGAAGCCATTCATTCATTCATTAGATAAGATAATGAATTATCCATTTACTCATCAAACATGTTTATCAAGAGCAACTCTATTCAAGACATTATGCTAGCAGCTGGCAACACAAAAACTTATAAGAGTAGTTGCTGACCTTAAGGAGCTGATAGCCCAGTGGGAAAGAGAGACAAGTCAGTGATTACGGTAATGATTACAGTACAATGTGGTAAAGTGCTATGACAGAGAAACATTGCTAGGAGAGAGATGGACACGGAAATGGGAAGGATAATTACATCAAACTTGGCATGGCATCCTAAGGATGATATTGCCTGATCTGGGTGTTAAGATCTAGTCGAGTCATTTGAAAAAGAACAAGGAAGGAGAGCATGCCTCGTCAAAGGAGTAGTGCACGAGGAGACACCAAGTTGTGGGACAGCCAAGTGTCTTTGAGCCATTGAACATGGATTAGTCTGGTAATAGTATTGAATGTGAGGAGGGGAGTTGTGCTAAGGGGTGAGACTTTGTAGATCTCAGAGGTTATGTAGCTATGGTCAGGACACTCTTCTGAATACAAAGAGGGACCCATAAATGATTGGAACACAATAATGACATTAGCAAACTTATGTTTTATAAAGAACAGGCTAGGTTGCAAAAGGGAGAATCAATTGGAAGAGGACAAAATAGGTACAAAAGACCAGTTGACTGAGTCTTAAAGTAATACGATTTACAATGATGGCTGCTGAGTTAAAAGTGGAAGCATGGAGGAGAGAGAAAAGCACATAGATCCAACGCAGAATTTTTGATGGAACTTAGTGATTGGTTGGATGTCTGTGTGGGAGGGTGCAGGGGAAGTGTGGTAAAAATAAAAGATGTTTTTTCAGCCTTCTGGCTTGGGCAAATGTTTAGATAGTGAGTAAAGAAGCAACACACAGAAGGAGCAGATCTGAGTGGGGAGGGTGACTATACAATGGACTTACTGATTTTGAGGTGTTAAAAATACATCCAAAGGGGGCTGTGCAATAGAGATTTGGACATGTGTGTCTGGAGCTTTTGGGTTCAGTCTGAGCTGAAGACAGATGATCAGTGAGCCTTGGAGACTTGGAAGTGAATGAGATCACCCAGAGAGAGCAGAAGCAGTGCCAAGAGTGCTGAAAGTCAAACCCTAGGAAGAACCAATGTTTGAGGGGAAGAGAGAGGAAACAGGTAAAACAAAGAAAGCTGAGGAGAAGGGGTCACAGAATTCAGAGGAAAATGAGGCAAGAGTAATTTCATAGAAGCCAAAAGATAGGGAACCTGTCAAGTAAACAGTGTTCAACCTCGTTGACAACTGCAGAGTTTAAAGAAAGAATTGCAAGGATAACTGTAATATCTTCAACATAGGTTTTTCCTTTTCTTTTCAGAATGTTCTTTTGTATATGACCAGAAAAAAAAAAAGCAACCCCATAGAGATTCTAATACATAGGTTTTTGGATATATTGGCCTAGAATGTTCTTCTTTCACTTAGAGATATGGAGAGATAATCTCCTCTGGAGTTTTGAGCCAGATGAGTTTGAATTGGCAGCCTGATAGTGGGCAAGTTACGTAACACTTCTGAGTCTCGATTTCCTAGTCTGTTAACACAGATAAATCACATATATCACACATAAATTTT
Source organism: Homo sapiens (assembly GCF_000001405.40). Taxonomy (NCBI): domain Eukaryota; kingdom Metazoa; phylum Chordata; class Mammalia; order Primates; family Hominidae; genus Homo; species Homo sapiens. Next base: position 105,619,305 of record NC_000011.10, read on the forward strand.
ATGAATATTAGAAAATAATTTGGAAAATATTCCACATGTAGTTAAAAATCAGTTATTATATCTGCATTTCATTTTCTGTGTCATATGGAAATTGTATGTCTGAGCCAATTTTAATATTTCAAGTTATTTATATTTTAAATTTATATTTTTAAAAGGCATTTTAAATAGATTTTTTGATATTTCGTAGAAAATTTTTTGACTTCTCACTGAATTGTTAATTTTAAATCACGTACAGAAGTCTAAAGCCATATTTGTCAAAATTATTTTTAAGTCTTAAGAGAGGGTAAATTTATCTAAGATCTTTGGGCCATTCAGAGAGAGGATTGTTTCACTGATAGATTAAAGGAGGTCAATGAATTCTCCTAATTTTATGCAAAATTGTGTGTACTTGTGCACAGTGTGTGTGTGTTTACAGAGACACAATCAAACTTTTGAACAGCTTCTCAATGAGTTCCAGTCACAAAAAAGGCCCAGTACTTCAGCCCTAAAGGAGCCACACATAAATTAGATGAACAAACAGCTCTTCATTCCCTATCTTCATCATTTTAGAAGCAGAATAGATTTTAGCCTTGAAACTAACCAGGAATTTTTTTTAATGAAATCCATCTCTACTACCTTCTTCCTTAACATAGAAAATAATCAGTGTGTCTAAGCTGGAAAACCCCTTGGCTTTGTCCTCTGCCTCTCGCATTGTCATCCTATAATTTTTATTTATTCTCTTACTATCCAAAGTGTTACATATTCTACATCAGCTCTTTCTATTTTCATCACCATTTACTTTTCCCTACCATCACCACTCCTGGAACACTGTGTTCTTGAAGGTCATCAGTGACTTACAAATTAGTAAATCCAATTGTTATTTCTTATGCCTCGTTTTCTCAGAATAGTTTGCAGGATTTGACATTGCTGACAACTCCTTGTTCTTTGAAACTCATTCCTCCTCTTGTAATAATAATAACTACTATAATGGAGTACTGTGTGCCAGATTTTGTGATCTCAATTTTTACAAAACTCAGAAGTAGGCATTATTATTATTTTATAGGTGAAGAACCTGAAGATTTGCATAGCTTAGAAAATTTGTCTAAGACCTCAAAGTATCCAGGGCATCTGAATTTAAAGTCAGTTTTCTTAGCCAATACAGGATTTGCCTGCCATTCATACCACAGCATCTTGATCAATACAGTATTGACAAAATACCCAACATTCAGTGTGACTGTCGCCGGTTAACCTTTAATTCTGATTTCAAGATGTTTTTCTTAAAGTTACCTCTGTCACAACTTTTACTTACCCCAACAAATATGGACATATTGATTTTTCTATGTGGTTTGTAACGCAGCACAAAAATTTCAGAATCCAAAACTGTAACACTCCCATTACTTTATATTGCCAAATTCATGTCATAAACACAACCAAGTGTAAAAACGACTAAATGACTCTTTTAACTGTTATGTAAACAGTGTTGGATGCTTCATTAGTTGGCCAGTCTACATATTTTTATAGAAAAATTATTTGATTTCAGGATAACTGCAGATATTCAAAACTATTTTCCAGAATGCTTCATTTAAATATTTACTGAGCTATCAAGTATTTTCTTTCCATTTTTTGGGGGGGGTCATATTTTTGGATTTCAAATAAATAGGGTGATGACTGTCCTAAAGAACACCATGCTATCTCAAAATTGCTCATTTTTAGAGCATCATCAGGTGCCTCCGACTTAAGAAAACTGTTGATATTGTCAATAAAAAGTTTAATGTTATGTTAGAAATAAAAGATAAAAAATATTTGAGATGTATTCCTTCTTTCAATAAGCCACTGTTTTTCCAGAAATAGCAGAAATTATACTATAAGCTATAATCACTATTTGCTTATTTTTGTTGCTGATATGTTTATTCCAAAATGAGCAGACTTTAAATATATTATGCCCTGTGATTTTCCCATTTTTTATATTTTTATCTTAAAACTCACACATACTTGTAAAAATTTCAAATACTTCAGAAATCTTAAAAAGTTAGAATATTCCTTAATCACAACACTTGGAGCTAATCAGACTAAACAGTTTGCTAGGGATCTTTCCAGACTTTTTTTTTTTCTGTATAGACCTAGAGAAACAGATATTACTCTAAACATAAGCTTCTAATATGTATCTAGAAATAAAAGTATTTAATAAGATAATATTTTATAGCTATATCTTATTAATGGTTTATTTCTGTTAATCATAAAAGGTATTCTTTTGGTATTTAAGAACTGCTTCATTTTCTTATACTGCTGCATAACATGCCATTGCATGAAGTTTCTATGATTAATGTATTCAATCTCCTCGGGATCAATATTTAGATTATTTCCAGGTCTTTGATATTACAAACTAAACAACAGTAAAACTTCTTGTACCTGAGTGACTATTCCTGCAAGATCAGTTCCTGGAGGTAAAATTGCTATATCAAATAATTAAGATTTATGCTTTTAATGAATATTATCATATATTTTCAAAATTTATTTAAATTTACAACAACCAGCATGTGAGAATAATTTTTTTCTATGACTTGCCAACAGTGACGATTATCAGTTTTTTGAATCTTTACTTGTCCTGAAGGGTGAGGATGATTTCTCATTGCTGCTTTAATTTACACATTTTTGGTTAATTGAGAGGCTTAAGACAATTTTATTTATCAGATCTGTGTACTTCTTTCTCTGTTTTTTTCCTTTACAAATGTTTTCTTTCTCGGTTGTGAGAGTGTTTTACATACTATAGAAATTAACCCTTTGTCATATACGTTGCAAATTATTTTTCCACTTTCCCTTTGGCTTCCAGATTCATTGATGATGTCTTTGGCCACACAAACATTTAAAATTTTTGTTTAGTCAAACTTGTGACTCATTTTCTTTATGGCTTCAGGGTGTTGTGTTAGCATAAAAAAGGCATTCCTAGCCTTACAACTATAGAAATATTATTCTACATTTTTTCTAGCATTTTTATAATTTTTAATTTTATATTTGTAACACTAACTCTTCTGGAATTTATTTTCTTACATTAGAAACTGATCTTTGTGAGGTTTTCTTGTGTTATTTATTTGCATAAGCTGCTCTTTTAAAAGTGCTTTGAACTGCTACATTTGTGCAAAACTGATGCTCTTTTTTGACTGAATTTGAGCTTGGACAGAAATTCTGCTGTTTATCTTCTGAAGTTCTCCTATTTGTCGTTCTTCACTTATTTACCCCTTTCTGATAGTCTTGCTTCTTCTATTATTTCCTTTTTTTTTCTTTCTTCTGATTGTCACTCACCACCTGACCAAATCCCCATGCCTCTACCTCCAAAGTACATCACATTTTCACTTTCTCCATCTCTATTTCACCCTCCTTGTCCAAATCAATGGTTTTATTTTAATTTTTTTACTTATATAAATTTATGAGGTAGAAATGCAATTTTGTTACATGTATAGATTGTGTAGTGATGAAGTCAGGGCATTTAGAGTATGCTTTACCTGAATAACGTGCATTGCACTCATTAAGTAATTTATCATCATCCACCCTCCTCTAACCCCCCCATTATTCAGAGTCTACAATGTCTATTAGTCCAAACTCAGTTGTCCATGAGTACACATTGCTTAGCTCCCACTTATAAATAAGCACATGTAATATTTGATTTTTCTGTGTCTGACTTGTTTCACTTAAAATAATGGCCTCTAGTTCCATCTGTGTTGCTGAAAACAACACAATTTCATTCTTTTTTATGGCCAAGTAGTATTCCATTGTATATATATATATATATATATATATATATATATATATACCATATTTTCCTTATCCAGTCCTCCAGTGATGGACACTTAGATTGATTCAATGATGTTGCTGTTGTGAATAGCTCTGTGATAAACATACAAGTGCAGGTACCTTGATAATGATTTATTTTCCTGTGTATAGATACCCAGTAGTGGGATTGCTGGATCAAAGGGTAGTACTATTTTTAGTTCTCAGACTGAAAGTTGTGCTAATTTGCATTCCCAATTGGCACTACTTTAATAATTTCATAATTAATTTCCTGCTTCTGCTTTTTACCTTTCTCCATCTACTTAACATATTTGAGCCGGGGGTACCCTTCTGAATTTATAAATCAGAGACTGTTTCTTTTGTACCTAGAACCCTCCAATGACTTTTCATTGCTTTAGAATAAAATTCCAACTCTTTACCATGGCCCTGCATGAACTGACTCTTGCCTGCTTCTTTGTCTTGTTCACCATTCTGGGGTCCACTCTGGTCTTCTTTCGTCTATGCCCTTGTACCTGCCATTCCCTTTTATTGGACTCCTCCAATACAGTTATTTGCCTAACTAGAGTTTTCTGAACTTTTAAGACTCAGGTTAAATGTCACCTTCTCAGAAAACTTTGCTGGCTAACCTCTGTAGCCAAATTTATCCCACACCAAAACACCAATCACTCTATATCACATTGCCAACCTAATGATCATCTTTTTTTTATCACAATCTGTAACTATTATTTCCAAATATTTGTTTACCTATTTATCATCCATATTCCCCACTAGAATAAAAACTTTCAGGGCTGTGTCTGACTTTTTAAACGTCCTGTCCTCATAACCTCTCACAATGGTTGATGCAAAATAGGAATCGGTAAATATCCTTGAATAAATGAATGAGAAATACATGGTGAGTTTTCTCTTCATTCATCTTTGGGGCATCCTTCAAATAGCTAACACTTTTCCTGTGTTATATTATCGAAAAATCAAGTAAAGAATATGAAGACAATGGGATAGTAGATCCAAAATAAATATTACATATTTTGTTTATCATAAACATTTTTTCTCATTTGTTTCCATTAAATTTAATTTAACATATGAGCTGAGTATAAAGAAAATATATCCTAGAAGAAAGAAGTTAGGACTGTTAATGCTAATTGACGTACATTGTGCTGATCAGATTGCATTTTGATAAATTTAAATCTGGTAGAAGATAAATTCTAGGTGCATATAACATTTAGTGTCTGCTGACAAAAGAAATTCAAAATGCTGATACAAACCACTTTCAAAGTAGGAGAAAGCCCTTTTGGGAAGCCCAGGTGAACTAGCAAGCACACTCAGGAGAATCCCATCTGTTCAGACATTGGCTGCTTCCTCAGTACTTCTTGGAACTAGGAAGCTCTTGGAAAGAGAAGGTTAGAGTCAAATGTATAATGTTATTCCTTTCAGTTCTTGATCATCTACATTGCACCTTCTATGGTAAATCTCATGAGCAATTTGTTAGTTTCCATAACCCTTTATTCCCTCCTTATTTGAAATTAGGTTATCCTTGGTTAATTACTTAATCTTTAACTATGTATACAGTCTTACCTAGGCAAGTTTGAAAGGGAATTCATCACTTTTTGTTCCAAAAATTTAACATCAATACAAAGTGATCCCTTTTTTCCTCCCCAAAAACATGCACGTCTCCTGCTTTCTTAATGGGAAGTCTGTTAAGTCAAAATGTTACTTTCTTTTCTCTGACAACTAGGAAGCTCATTTCCAAATTTACTATTTAGTAATAACATTACTCCTCATTTTAAACAATTTTCATTGGTTTTACATCTTTGATTTTTCTAAAATCATATTATAAATGTATATGTATAATATATGCATACAAGTATTACATATAGAATATATATACTTTTAGACTATGCACATTATTTTTGGAAAGTAGCACAGAGATACTGTGATTATAAATTTAAAAATGTGTGATATCCCATTCAACACAGATGTTGGTCAGATTTTGCTTAAATAATCAAATTTCCTTTTTGGTAGTCTCTGTATCTTGTATATGCCTTGGAAGATAGACAGAGAGAGAGGCAGACAGACATATATAGACAGATAGATAGATAACCTGTCAACACTGTTAGACTGTGACTTCCGTGACAACGAGGATGATACCGTACTAAAGACTCTATCATGAAGGCCTATTACAGTGTCTGGAACATTAATGTTCTGTACTCATATGTTTGCAGACTGTTTGTTGGAGGAAGTAGGGGAGAAAGAGAGAGAAACTGTTTCTTGATTGGATATCTATAACAACAAATTCTTAGCCAGAATTGAATAACACAAAACAAATCTGGTTAATTTTCTTATGACTCACACTCGTCACATTTTTTAAAAACAGGTATCACACATCCTTTTAGTGATTTCCCAAGCTAAGTAACATTTCTTTACATAACATAGTTTCTAAAACCTTTAACATCCAAATTTTGGCATTCTGGATGTCCCCTGGACTTATTGAAATTTTGTTAAAATATAATAACTTAAATTAACTCACACAATACACCCCTGTTACGATCAGTATAGAATTAAACTCCACATTCCTGACACTCATGATTATGGCCTGACCTGTTCTGTCTGGATGGGAATATTACTTCCAATTATTTAGGCATTGTACGTATAAAGAGTTGTCCAAGATTATGTGGGTCTTAATTATTCAGTTACATCATTATATTGGTTCCTGTTAAGTCTATGCTCACACTCTGCTCTTTTTTCCACACAAATTGCTACAAATTAACCTCTCCATAGAACATTTTTAAAAATTCACAGTTAGAAATATTTCTTATGTTCACTCTTAAATTTTAATTTGTTTGGAAACATCTAGACCGTCCTCAATCTTAATTCAGCTAGCTATAAACTATTTTTAAATTCTGTGGGACTCTTTACTATATTATTATCCATATTGCTGATTAAAATGCAGAAAAGGTTGTGGTATAGGATAGATGTGGGATGATGCCAGGATATGAATCAATACATTTTAGGTCCGTGTGGGCAGTTACATGTGGATTCTTTTAAAAATAATTAATTTGATCAAATTTCTCCATATTGTCCACAACAGTTGCCATTTCACTACACTGGTACATTTTTTAAAGTAAAACAAACATAAGGGCCGTGAAATCTTGCAGAAATATTTCAGTGCAACTACATTGGATAAAGGAGAGCACACATACACACATACACACACACATACACCCTGCATTCAGATTGAAAAGAAATGACAAAAGATATACAACAGAAAATTCACATTGGAATAAATAAATAAGCCCAGTAAACAAACTATAAAGTATATTTAACCTTAATAGTCAGAGAAAATCAAATTGAGATACACAATTTTACATAATAAATTAGCTAATTTTGGTGGTACAGATGAAGAGAATGTTAAGTCACTCAAGATATCTGGGACATTTAAAATTGATACAAAGCCTTTGAAAATCAATTTGTAACAATTTATCAAAAGCCATTGAAATTGTGAATCATTTGACCCCATGAATGTAGGAAAACCTCTAAACACGAACATTTCATTAAAGCATTACCTAGCAATATTTAGTTGGGGAATGGTTAAACTAATTAACATGCAGCCAAGCTGCTTAAGGAAGTCTGTTGATCATGAGAGTTCTCCATCTGACTTGTGCCAACAGTTCTAGATTCAGGAATTTTTTATGTAGACTCTTTATATGCTTTTATTTTTATTATTTTGTTTTATTTTCTTACAGAAGGGGCAGGGTCATGGTAGAAGGATGTTCTAGTCAGATGCAAAAAAAGATGTCCTCAAAATGTAATACTGATTTATGGAGCTCATAGAGCTAGTTGAGTAATTTTTTAAAGCACGAGTTATTTAGAGGAGCATAGATATTCCACACCAGTCCTGGCTAATGTCCAGGTAAAGATAGGTGCATTGTTTGTCTTGTGCAGATATTTGGAAATTCTAGTAAATGAATGATACAGGAAAACACTGCTGTTCATTTTACCCCAATGTTTTGTATTTCCTTTTCTTCACCTCTCATAGGTGTTGGGGGGAAATTCAGAAATTATGTGACAATCTGCTTAGTCTTTGAAAGACGCATGAGATTCTGCTATACTCTAAAGAGAAAGAAAAATATTTCAGGTAGAGAGAACAGCATTACAGGAAAAAGTGTAAGGTGTATGGATGACATTGGAGAACGATAATGCATCTGGAGAATAGAGTAGGGGTAGGGGGGATGGCAGGTAGGTGGTGGAGTGGAGGGGTTGGGAGAGGGACTGGACAGCACTGCGAGGCAGGGAGGGGCCTTGTAAACTGCCCTGGAGGATAGGATAAGGATGTTATGCCATATTCTTCCACAGAAGACAGCAAGAATTATTTTAAGCAGTCTATAACATAATTATGTTTGTGTGTTAAAAAGACTTCTAATAGCACGGTTCATCATTCATGTATATAGCAAAATGTGGTTCCTTTCCCATATCAAATACACTAAGAAGCCGTTTCCTAGACAAGGAATGTTATTTTGTTACTTCAGTTGCTGTTTGTAAGACCCATTTTGGTATGTAATTCTGCTCACTGTTTTTCAGCAAGAACTGTTAGTTCTAGCAACAAATACTTAGCTTATCATTGCAACCATGTATCTTCCGAACTGCAAACCAAGTCGGTTATAATAAACAGGTTGGAAAAGAGCTGGCATTTGGTGGGAGGAAAGTAAACAAAACTTAAGCACCTTCTATAATATGCATAGAGGCAATAAAATCTCCCTACAGATTAATATAGATGCCGATAGAACACTATATAGTCTACTACTGATTAAATATCAAGCATCCGCCGCCTTTTTAAAGTTATTCTTGATAGAGGTTAATTATTTAATTTAGTTGGCACAAATAAGAATCTGTACTACAACCGTGACTTGCCACTCAATCACATATTACAGAGTAATAAAAACTTGTTAAAAAATGAGTTGAACAATTGCAAGATTAAAATAATAATTAGTACAATTACCATCATATATATGTGTGTATGTGTACACACACACAAACACACACACACACACACAGAGCCTGCCAAAGGGAAAAATACAGTGAGATAGTAACATAAATAGTTTGCAAGATATGGTTATTCCTTCTCCTCAAAATAATGATTTATGAACTTTCATGTGCATACCTTTGCCCACCATTATTTGCAAATTTATTTCTTAAAAATGAAAATACAGCAAACACATATAGAGTTCAGAATAACTTTATAAATCACTATATTTGTTATGCATCATATATCAGATCTTTCATGTACATATATAATATATACATGCTGATACGGTTTGGCTGTGTCCCCACCCACATCTCATCTTGAATTGTATTTCCTATAATCCCCATGTGTCGTTGGAGAGACCCGGACGTTGGAGTTGAATCATGGGAGTATGATAGTAAGTGAGTTCTCCTGAGATCTGATGGTTTTATAAGGGGATTTCTCTCTTTGCTCGGCACTTCTCTTTCCTGTCTTCATATGAAGAAGAACGTGTTTGCTTCCTCTTCCACCATGATTGTAAGTTTCCTGTGTCTCCCCAGCCATGTGAAACTGTAGTCAATTAAACCTCTTTCCTTTGTAAATTACTCAGTCTTGGGCAGTTCTTTATAGCAGTGTGAGAACAGAATAATGCACATGCCTTTAGCATTTTATTCTTTATTTCACAAAATTTGCTAATGATTGTATGTTATAAAAACAAAGTCACTGTGAAAATAATCCTCATTTAACAGAATTGATAAAATCACAGATTAGAAAACAAGTTTCAATATTTTTATTGAGAGGACATTGTTGCTAAAATAGTATTTTATTTTCAAAAAAGCAATGTCTTAACCTCTTTATATTTAGAAAACGCCATCATCTCAGCCCAAAATCTCTTCAAGCTGATAAGGAACTTCAGCAAAGTCTCAGGATACAAAATCAATGTGCAAAAATTATATCGTATCATATTTTAAAGGGCCAGTCTGGGCAAGATGGTGTGAAACCACTTCTCCACCAAAAAAAAAAAAAAAAATTAGCGTGGCTGCCACTGCTATATAGTCCCAGCTACTCAGGAGGCTGAGGCAGCAGGATCCCTTGAGCCCAGGAGTTGAAGGCTGCAGTGAGCTATGATTGTACTCCAGGCTGGGTGACAAAGTAAGACACTGTCTCTAAGAAAATAAACTAAAAATAAATAAATAAATAAATAAATAAATAAATAAATAAATAAATAGAGACATTTTCCATTTCCATTTAGTGATAGTAATACTCTAGATTTTCAAAATTATTAGACTGCAGGCAATGGGCTATTAGGCAGAATAGCTAAATGATAAATATTATTATATGGCTACTAAACTCATGATTTAGAGATTTTTAACATATGGGAAATATGTAAGATAATGGTGAGGGAAAAAGATAGGTTCTCTTTTGATTGCAATTTCAAAAGAACAATAATATATAAAAGAGACTGAAAAAGACTATACTCAAATGTTGATAGTGATTATTTTTCTTTTGTGTTATAATGCAGAATTTCCATTTTTAACGTACACTGTTCTAAATTTTTACATGTTTACAAAAAGCATATATTAACACTTTTCTTGATTCATAATATCTAAATAAAAGAAAATGTGGTGATTTTGTTACAAAATGTTGAATTTGTCTTGCTGTGTCCAAAGGAACAGATAAACTAAGGGAATCTTTTGGCATTTTAGTCTTTATCAGCGTTTGTTGTCTAAATATCTTGCCCACTTGGTAATTGCCATGTTTGATCTCTTTGGTTACATACTTCCATTAATTTAAAATGAAAATAAGCTTTAATGAACTAAAATTATCATCATTACATTTGCTTACTATAGCTCATTAAAAAAGCCAAGAAAATTTGTGATTACAAGCATTTGTCATCGTCAATTGAAACCTGTAACTTAGCAACCATATCTTATTTTCAATTCTGTATAAAAGACAGTAGCTGCATGAGTGAGCTGGTGGCTCTTGGCCATCTGGTCACTTTCTTTAGGTAGTTTTTTCTGACCACCCCAGATTGATTTAGGCTCCACTTTGCTATGATCTCAAGGCACCTTGGACTTACCCTACTACGTGATATTATTATTTATTTGCACTCCCCACATTGAATGACTGGAATGCTATTGTATTTGTGAGTAAATTCCTAGTGCTTGACTCATGGCTCAATGCCTGGCTTATAATAGCATTAAATTAACACCCACTAGGCCAGGCACAGTGGCTCATGCCTGTAATCCCAGCACTTTGGGAGGCCAAGGTGGGTGGATCATGAGGCCAGGAGTTCAAGACCAGCCTGACTGACATGGTGAGACCCCGTCTCTACTACAAATACAAAAATTAGCCAGGCGTGGTGGCATGTGCCTGTAATCCCAGCTACTCTGGAGGCTGAGACAGGAGAATCGCTTGAACCTGGGAGGCCAAGGTTGCAGTGAGCTGAGATCACGCCGCTGCATCCCAGCCTGAGAGACAAGCAAGACTCCTTCTAGGAAAAAACAAAAAAAACAAAACACCAACTAAATATGTAGATATGAAAATGAAGGGATTTAAGGATTTATGGTTATATATTAGTGTTTTAAATCAATTTTTGAGTACCCAAGTAAGGCATTAATGAAAAAAATGATTAATAATTTTTTTTAAAAAAATTTTAAAAATTAATTAAAAATGGAAAACAGTTTTTTATGGACTTCTCCATCTGAGTAGGTGACTGGTGAAGGATCATAAAGATCATTACTCATTCAAACACACTGCTTTCAAGATTTAGAATCAAAGAGTCCTATAATGAGAGTCTTCAAGTGAAAGGGACAGTCATACAAGCTGTCCTCCATCCTCCCTCTGAGTTCTTATGTCTCATGTGGATAATTTCACTTGAATTATGCTAGGATGCCTGTCCATGAACAGGGACATCACAGCTCTTTATTTAAAATTCTCGTCTAAACCCCAAAGATTCTTTCTCACTTCTACTCCCCACCTTGTTTATTACAAAGTATCTAGACTTACTAAAATCCTCTCACTTTTACCCAAAGACAATTTTTCTGTGTCTAAAGTAAGATTTCACTCTAAGGACATAGGTCTCTTTGCTCCTAAGTAGCTCACAGTCTAGTGAAGACCACCGAAAATCTCAGTGCAATGTGAAAAAAGCTGTGATTATATTGGGAAGGAGGCAGCCAGCCCCGCTGGGGCTAGTGCATGTATCTATAATGTACTTTAAAAGATGTTCTCTCTTTTCATGAGCCAGAGGATAGCTTAAGATAACAGAAGAAAGAAAAAGACTGTCCATTACCCAGACTAATTTGATTAATGAAGTAAAATTGGACCGATATACTTAGATGTCAGAATTTATATGGAGAGAAATGAGCAATTAAATAAAACAAAATCCTTTGGCAGCCCCAGATTAGACTCAACAACTGTGAATCTGAACCACTCATATTGTCTCATAGATAACAAACTATTTATCACTTCTATATTCTATATTCCTTATGCATCTGTGTGTGTTTGCTACCAAGTTATTTGCCCCTGTTAATATGCAGCTTCTTTAGTGTTCAGTTGTAACTTTAATTAACTGAGTGTTCACTTGGCAACTGTCTTGCTTTCTTTGCTGTGCCACACACTTTATTGAAAAAAAAGTCAGACTTGATACTGGGCCTTACAAAGCTTATTATATGCTGGAAAGACAGAAGCAACTTGTTATGAATAAGGTGATAAGTATGTGTTAAATCAGAAGGTGTTGTGCATTGTATCATAATTGCCAAAGAAATACTATTAGGAGGGGCCAGATTTTATAAAAATAAGACTTAATAAAGTGGAGTTTAATCTTGAATGAATGAGGAGGTCAAGGAGGGGTATAAAAGAGTGTTGAAGAGAGCAAATAAAAAACCCTAAGCTACAAAAAGGGATGAGGTGGCACAGGAAAGCATCTCATTGGATATGAATGAATAGTGTTGGAGGGAGGGAAAACAGGAGGGCAAAAGCCTAATTATAAATTCAGGACTTTAGAAGCAAATAAAATAAAAGTTTGAATTTGATAACAGGGATGGTTTGGACAGGGGATTGATAATTCAAGAACCGTAATTCTGTCATGGGTATGCAGTATCAATTTAGAGAATAAAGAGGATAGACACAAGAAAGTGAAATGGACTGAATTAAAGTCTTACTCCTCTCTCATCTCTTATAATTTCTTACTGTTTTGGGTTCTCTTCAGTCTAAAGTTTTAGCTGACACCCCATCTCATCTCCACATAAGAACCTCTACTCCAAATATGTCTGTTTACACTTCCACTTTCCCAGTTTCAAAGACCATAGCACTGCTTTAATGTCTGTCCCCATTTTTTTCATTTGTAGAAACACTTCCATTCTTCCAAAATTGGCTCTCTGGTGTAGAAGAGCATAGCCTCTGCAGCAAGGCCTGGATTCAGCACCCAGCTTTGCTGTTCATTAGCTATGTGAATTGTTGACAAATTAATCATCCTCTTTGAGTTTCAGAGTCTAAGTTATAAATTAATGGGAATGACAACTTGCCTTGATTTTACTAGAAATATCTAAAGCAATGTGCATTAAAATACATCATATACAGTGCTTAGGGGCCAAGCATTGTGGCTGACTATAATCCTAGTGCTTTGGGAAGCTGAGGCAGGCAGAACACTTGAGGCCAAGAGTTCAAGACCAGTCTGGGCAACACAGCGGGACCCCGTTTCTCCAAAATAATAAATAATTAAAAAGAAAGAAAAAATTTTGTAGAAAGTGTTAAAAGTGTTTAGGCATGGACCTCTAAGCATTAATATAACCACAGTAAACACAGAAATAATAATTTGTATCATTCCCTGAGCCAAGCCTCATGTATACAAAATAAAATGCACATTTCAATGGCTGATGGAGGTGAGAGAAAAGGGGTCTTGAGAATTGTAACTTGGGAAGATGGTGCTGTTCACCAGGAAATACATATGAAATAAAAGGTCCTAAAGCAATATTATGAGTTTGTTTTGGAGCTGACTGAGTTAGCTGTCAAGTGTATCATAGTGTGTTATGTTTTATTTTCTGTTACAAGAAAGGTAACTTCTATAGGTGCTCACTAACGACTCAATGAATTAGTGCCATTTGAAAAGATGAATTTATTATGCCATTATATGGATTTCTGTTTGAAAATGAACTTAAATTCAAAAGATTCATTTTTAATGTGCATGTGTTTCACAGCTGACAATGTTGGCATTTCTTAGAAGATTTATACATATTTCTACATATTTATTTTTTGTCAAATTCAAAGAAACTAATTTTGAAATGTCAATTTACAATCTGTTCAATAGACTATGAGCTTCTTGAGGGCAGAGTCTATATCTATTTTTCCTTTATATCCCCTGAATATAGTTCATAGCACAGTATATTTGTTGTAAACCCTTAGTAAAAATTGTACTAAACCCTTAGTAAATATTTCTGAATGCAAATGTGCATTATTATTCAAGCTGTGAATCTGCAGATCAAGTGTAATTGCACTGGAGTTTAGAGACTATTAAAGAAAAACAAACTTATCTTCCATGACCATGCTTTTTTATCAAAGAGTCTATAGATGTAACTCATTAGAATAACTGAAGGCAAGTTTAGGAATCTCTAGAACCACAGAAACACAAATTCTACATTCTTAAGACCTGTATTTCAGACTTAGTTAAATAACAATATCAGAATCACAGACCTGGAAGAGACTCTCTGAAATCACATAAATGACAACCAGTTTACTATTTACAAAACTTTTCCATTAGCCTATCCTAATGGAGCCTCAAAACGATGCTGAGAAAGAACTAGAAATGACTTGGAAACTGAGACTTTTAGAACTAACCTGGTGCTTAGTGCACTTATGTTAAAAACAGTTTCTTCCACTTCCCAGATACCAAGACATTAGGCGGGTTACTCAATCTTCCTAAGTCTCAGTTTCCTGATCTGCAAAACAGAGACAATAGTAGTAACCAAAAGGGCTGCTGTAAGCTTTTGAAAAATTTGCTTGTGGCCAGGCATGGTGGCTCATGCCTGTAATCCCAGCACTTTGGGAGGCCGAGGTGGGCAGATCACGAGGTCAGGAGTTCAGGACAAGCCTGGGCAACATGGTGAAACCCCGACTCTACTAAAAATACAAAAATTAGCAGCATGTGGTGGCACGCACTTGTAGTCCCAGCTACTGGGGAGGCTGAGGCAGGAGAATCACTTGAACCTGGGAGGTGGAGGTTGTAGTGAGCCAGGACTGTGCTATTGCCTTTGCACTCCAGCCTGGATGACAGAGAGAGTCTCCGTCTCCAAAAAAAAAAAAAAAAGAAGAAGAAAGAAGGAAAGAAGGAAGGAAGGAAGGAGAAAGGAAGGAAGGAGAAAGGAAGGGAGGAGAAAGGAAGGAAGGAGAAAGAAAGAAAGAAAGGGAAAGAAAGAAAGAAAGAAAGAAAGAAAGAAAGAAAGAAAGAAAGAAGAAAGAAAGAAAGAAAAGAAAGAAAAAGAAAAAGAAAAACTTGCTTCTAAAGTGCTTAACATAGTATCTGCTGCATATACCAAGCTATTCCTATGAATACTTTACTACTTGCCAAAGGACCCTCGACCAGAAATCAGACTGTAACCCAAGTCTCTGTTTACAAATTATATGATTTTTACCTATTTAACTAAACCCATGCTTAAGAGTTGGCCATTTTCAAATCTTCAGATTCTAACAGTCCCCAAATTTCCTAAGTTGCCTGTATTATTTTCTGGGTTTGCTGCATGATTTTGAAAATAAAACATTGTCAGTTATATTCTAGGTTTAGGTGAATGTCAGAAAAGCTTTAGAAAATCCATTCTAAAAAGTACACATTCTGTAGAGCTTGCACCAATATTTTATGAAATGATTTTAGGGTGTGTAATTTGGGAGCGGTGTTTGAGGATTATGGATACCTTTGTCTATGTAACTATGATGATAACATTTCACACATGTATAGTACTTCACAGTGTTTCCAAAACGAGGCACTAATAAATTCGGTGATACACAGTGTTTCTGGTAAGTGTATTGACAGTTAAAACTACAACTTTTCTTTCCTAAATATTTGCAATAAAATATAGTAGTCTTATATTTAAATATTCTCCTCTAAAATAATAATATTAGAGACTTTAAATTATCTTTAATTTTCCTTGGAATACAAAATGGTACTGGGGAAATTAACCTCTCTGTAGGAAATTAACTGCCTAAGAGTAAAATAAAATGTCAGTATTTGAATTACAAGCATACTAGGAAACTTTAGCTTAAATATATAATTTGTGACTTGGAAGAAAAAAGTCAGGATTAGAAGAAGAAAGACAGTGTAAAGATCTGTCTTAGTGCTGATAAATGGTAGCTCCATAGTAACTGCCAAGCATAAGAATATATATTATATTTTTCATTGGTTTTACTTGAGGAGAAGTGGCCAAATAAAATTGAAATAGGAATGTAGAAATTACACTTTTGATAAAGGGAAATACTCCGAAGGACATTTTTAAATTTCTGTGGGACTCACAGGGGTGAGTCTTGTCCTGGATTCATGCCATTTCAAATAACTAGAGGCATGAGAAGAGGCTGCTCCTGCCCGCCTGCCCGAGCTGTGGCCTCAGTCCATGCGGAGCTTCCACCTCTGAGCATCCCAACCAAACAGTCCCTTTCAGTGACCCTCATCATCAGTGCACTGGAAATTGTGTTAGTAATTAAGGACAGACTTTGGCCTTGAATATTGAGCAATATGAACACATTTTCACTTAGAATTTAAGTATCACAGTAAATCCTAACCTCATATATTTTAACTGTTTTCTATAAATCTTATTCTGAAATAAAAATAAGGTACTCAATGTCGTTTAGAAATAGGAACTTATAGAAGATAATCTCTGTAGCACTGATAAGGAATGCTGCCAGAAAACCTAGAGAGCTGAATATTTCATATGAACTCAGAGGCAGCATTGCCTCCCAATTCTGTTTCCATGCATGTGTGCTGGAAGAACTCAAAACACTTGCTTTTAGTTATCTAGTGTATTTATAATCCATGAGCATGAAACAGATTTGGAATACAAAATAAGGAGCTTCCAATACAAAAAGAGTAAAAGACAAGTACCTTCTTGCTTTTCATCAGTTCAGTTCTTATTAGATGATTTTTCAAATTGGATGTCTAATAGTATAACATTTTCATGTTTATTAAAGACAGGTATTGTTCATGAAATGTACATTTTAAGGCAATGGGGAATCAAAATTGCAAAAGTGGGAATAGTATAATATTCTATACTTCTCTCATAATTTCCCATCACTTTCATTTTTGTCCCTCAAGAATATCTTGCCATTTTACATTTTGTTCAAGGTCAGACTCTTTTAAAGTTCAGAGTGACTTTTTATTCAAAGTCTCCTTTACTTTCCTTACCCTACCTGACACACATACCAAATCAAAACATTGTATGTTTTTATCATTTTCTTTTCTCCATAGACATAATCACCCAAGTGATCTCTACAATTCCAGGCCTAAAATAGAAAGGATTTCCACCACCTCTCCCCTTTTTCCCTTGTGTTCCCAGGTTTTGGAAGTCCATTTTCTAAAGTCTAGCCTCATTTAATGCAGCCATATGGTGATACTTCCTCACTGGTGTGACAAGGTCATTGTTAACATATGCTTTGGAAAAAAAGGATGCTTATTTAATCCATGAGCTGTTTGTAAAGGGAAATCATAAAACGATGGCATGGAGTGACAGTGTCCCTCAACAGCGAACCAATTCAAATAAACCACAGAGGCAAAAATGCACAGGTCTAACTGCACTTGGCTAGAACTGAATCAGTGCAGTGTATGTAGCTACCATCAAACCATCCCATTCCCCTCAGTCTGATGTGTTTGAATTTTACCACATAATCATTCAATCTGCTGCCTTTTCAGTTGGTTTTAACAGAACAATTACCTCAGCATGTTGCAATACAAAATGATTTTAGTGATATTGTTAATCTAAAATCTCAAGTAGGGGACAGAGAAGAATTTAGAACGTTTATAAGATTAAAACTCTACCAAATGCCGTTTAACTTAGATATTTTGTGCTCTCCATTATTGTGGAAAAAATAACCATTTAAAAATAGTTTTATGAAGCTAGATAATTTTAATGATATGAGGTATGATTAGAAGCTTTGTTATCCTTAACATTGGAAGTGGAAATACATAATTATGTTAATACATTTCATGATATTAACAATAGAATTCTACACCTGTCACCTTTAAACAATCCTTTTGCTTACAATAACATTATATACAATTTTATTATAATATAATTGCTATTTAAAAAGTAATGCTTTTAAGTTGGATTGAATTTCTCTGAGGAATAGTATCACTGGATTTAGTGCACATTGTGTAAGATGAATTATCTCAGGAAATAGGTTTGCATTTGTTAGCACAATTTTTTGTAAATATTCACTGAGTGTCTACCGTATGCATCATACCATACTGGGCACTGCAGAGAATTCAAAGAAAAGTCAAATAAATACTCTGCCCTCATGAAGTTTCGAGTGTAGTAGGAGAAATAAAACATGTAAATAGATAGTTAACATGTAGACTAGAGAGTGGTAAATACCTGCCTGTTTTAGGACATGTTTTAGGAGAGTGTCTCCTGCATGTTTCAAGGACAGAGAAATTTCCAAGCCAGGAGAATATGGCAGTGCATCTTTGAAACCTAAGCAGATTTTTAATAACTCATATTCGAGGGCTATTATAGCATATTTTTACTTTAACAAGTAGGTAAGAGAAAATGCAATTTGAACATAAAGATTCTTAAAAGCTAAGCCCAGGTGCAAATGACCATGAAGGAGGATGGCTTATCACCGATGAAAAACTGGTTGCAAGTTAACATAGATAATCTGAGTCTAAATTCTTTTTTAATTTCATTCATTTATTTTTAAATTGACAAATAATTGTGTATTTTTAATCGTGTACAACATGATGTTTTCTAAATTCTTATAATGGTATATTTTGCTACTAATATGTTTTGTGCGTTTGAACTAATGTCACAGTGTTACCTGATAGATGACACAGGTTGCTTTTTCTGATAGAACTATAGTAGTTCTTAATGCTGGGATCTGCAAGAATGCGATTATGAAAAACTTCCCCCAAAGAAATCCCAAAGTTGTCAGCTGGAACACTAATGGAAGCCATGCATGGTGATTGATGTTAAACCAAAGTAGCAGGCAGGTCATGCTGATAGGAACAGTGAAAGATGGAGTGAAAGAGATGGATCAGAAATATTGTGTTCAACTACAGGCTAACAAGGCCTGGAGCATCCACAAACAAGGCCCAAAAGCAGAGTGTAGTTGCAGCTACCCTGAACCTGCTGACAACTGGATTCTCTAGATCATATTGTTTTATTCCGTAAGTAATACGTACATCACTTTTAAATAAATATGATCAGGGCAAAGTAGTGATGTTTTCAAATACAGATTTTTCTCATCTGGAATCTGTGCCTTACGAGGTGCGCGTGTATGTGTGTGTGTGTGTGTGTGTGTGTGTTTTCTCCATACTAGTTTCTCCCATAGCAGTGCATATTTGCACTCCTTTTTAAATAACATATATGACAATTTAGCATTTTTTATTAAAAATCACTATTCTCCATTTACTCTATTTCAATGTCTCTTAATTGATCCTAGTTTTTTACAATTTTGCCTTTATAATACCTCAAATTTACCATCATTCTTTCACTTTATCTGTACTCTTAGGGAATTACTTTATTTCTTTTTCTATCTTTCCTTGAATGATCAGAGCTCACTGTCTCTTCCTTCCTCTTGCTTTCCCAAGATAACATTTATTCTTTGTTTTCCTTCCTTATCATCCTTAACTTTTTTATTAGTGAAGTTGCCGACAAATCCTTTTCTATTACCTAAGCTATTTTCAAATCAGTGTAGTACACACGTAGGAGACAATCAGCAAACATTTCCTTAAATACTCAATATTTCAGTAGCATGTCTTCATTTTCTCTTAAAACGATGAACCAACCAAGAAAGCAAATAAACATAAAGCCAAAAATGCATCTTATTTCCCTTTTACTTGGAATGGGAATACTTACTTAATCACATTAACTCCATGGGGAGGAGAGAATATTCATGCTATGTCAGATCTAATTTAGTGTTCCTTCTCTTTCCAACTCTGAATTGAGCATTTCTGCATTCATTAAGTTCACTGATTTACTTTTGGGATAAAAGTAGAAAGATAAAGTTGGTGAAGGAACAAGTACAAATGCAAAATATATTTTAAAATTCTTTTTAAACAGAGGGAATTAATTTCATGACTATAAGTTAGTTTTATGACAATATTTGAATAATAGCTGTAAAAGGGATCTGAGGTCTCTTGCCATATGAAGATCTCAGCATCGCAGTCATATTTCCTATTCATGACTAGAGTCAATTATTTCTCGTATGTCACAGTATTTTTGAAAATAGAAATAATATTAAATGAAAAATTCCAAGAATTTTTTCTAAGAAAAGTTCAATATATCTTACATATTCAATGTAGTATTTTATTTCAAAATCATACCCTGTACATTTTTAATTTACAATGATGTTGCTATCATACTTTTCACATTAAAATAAAACCATGATCATTATAAACTAATTAGGAGGTATCTATAAATAATGTTGTTTCTTTTACCAGGAAAATTAAATTACTTTCCTAAAGTGACATGATGCAGTTTCAACACAGCTGAAATTATTGATCTGTATCTTTTTAGTTAGTGTCCAGTGTTCTTCCATTGTTCCATAGTAACCTTACTGATATAAAAGTAGTAACAAATCATAAACTTTGAATAGAGCAGTAAACACTACACTTTTCACAGCCCCTTTTACAGATTACATCTTAATTTCCGCTGAAATATGAAAATGACAATGAATACATGTTTCCTATTTTTTTATGCTGCTTATATCTTGGCAGCATTTGTCATACTTGTAATGATTTTTTAAATCAGTAATAAATGATTAATGGGAAAAATAGGTAGATAATATTTTTATTATGAAAGCATCAACATTTATATTAATTAATAACTACATTTCAGCTTTTGAAATACAATCTAGTTCATTTCTGACAAATGATCTGATGCAGATGTTTCCCTAACATTCAGAAAAGGAAAATAAAGGGAAGACATTTGCTTACTTAAAAAGCTAGATGTTTCATAAGAATTTCAAAGCCCAAAAATGCAAAACAAGAAAATTAATTTTAAAATCTCATATTTTTCTTGTATTCTCAGAATTTCTTAGCAACACATTTACACTTTTGTGTTTATTTGGATGTATATTTTTAATTATAAAATTAACATACCTGGGGGTAGACAATTTGAAAAATGCGGTTATAACAAACAAAACAATTAAAATAATAATTCTACTATCAAATAATAAAAATGCACATACTAATTTTACTATTTTATAGACACTTAATTATAATATATATTGTTCTATTCCAGATTAACATTTTATTCTAGGCATTTTCCCATTGGATATTATTCAAAAATACTCTTTTAATTACCAAGTAATTATTTTATGAATGTTAGTAATTCATGTTTTAAATGTTTTTATTTTTTCCAGTGTTTGACAATTTTAAGTAACAATTTGACCACATTTCTACTTATTTCTATTTAATATATTTCTATTTTAAAGGTTCTTGACATTTACTGTGAAATTGCTTTCCAAATGGACATATGTGTCCACAGGCAGTGTATGATGACATCCTTTTCATCACATTGAATATTGTTATGCATTTTAGAATTAGATAACTAGTCATAGCTAATTATTTTCATTTTGTTTGGCTCTCTTTTTAATATGTTTCTCAATATTCCATTTCCTTTGCTTATTCTTTGGTTTTCTATTCCTTTAACGTGTAAAAATAAATTACATTAATTTGATGTTCTGAAGCCTCAAACAGAATATGTTTTATAACATTATTCTTAGCCTAATTATTATTTTTTATGATAAATAACTATGTTTACAATCATGGAACATTGCTCTATAGCTATTAATGAGCACTTATAATGTTTATGAGAATGTTTATCCAATATTTGTCATAATTTTGAAGAAAGTAAAAGTAAAATAAAATAGAGCTTTCATTTATTTTTTAGATCTAGAATTTATATTAGCATTTAGTGAGTAACTAGTAAGAATAATTATTACCCTCATATGTTAAATAAAATTCTGAAATTATCAACTATATTAATTTTAATCTGAGCACTACAGACATTAGACCTAAGGGCAGGTCTTAAGTTAAACTTAAATTCTTCTATTGCATTCAATTTTTGCCGTCACTCACCATAGCCACTATCTTCTCAGCCCACTCTTGTCACTCATGCTCCTTATAGCAGTTACTGTAGCAGAAACTTGGGAATAATTTTTCTGCTTAATGACTTAGCTAAGACTAGAATATAGAGTGTATAAATGGAAACAGACCTGGCAAGTAAGACATCTCTGATTTGGAGGATATATTTTTTAGTCTACAAAGAATCCTTGAATACATCAAGATAGAGCATATCTTACAAACATATGGGCAACCATATGACATCATCCTGTGTCACTACTAGTTTTGGTCATGTGAATCCAAAGGGCCCTTTGGTGATGTTACTCACCAATACACTTCCCAGTCATATAAAATTAGATACCTTCCCATCCTTAACCACTTTTAGTAGAAAGAATGCCCTTCAGTCCACACTGTGTTACTAGGCCCAAAGCAGTGTTACTAGTAGTCTATTTCTTACAGCATACAAAACTGCTCTGTATCAGTTTGCCAGGGCTGTCATAACAAAGTACCACAGACTGTGGCTTAAACAACAGAAATAACAAAGTAGCACAGACTGTGGCTTAAACAACAGAAATTTATTTTCCACAATTCTGGAGGCCGAAAGTCTGAGATCAAGGAGGCAGCAAAGGTGGTTTCTTCTGAGGCCTTTCTCCTTGGCTTGTAGATGCCATTATCTCCCTGTGTCTTAATATGGTCTTCCCTCTCTGCATGTCTGTGTCCTAATTCCTCTTTTTATGAGAACACCAGTCATATTGCATTAGGGCCCACCCTAATGACCTCATTTTAACTCGATTCTTTAAAGACCCTGTCCCCCAAATACAGTCACATTCTGAGGTACTGGGAAGTTGTAACTTCAATGCAGAAGCTTTAGAGGCACACAATTTATCCCACAACATGTCACTTGCAAGACTTGCTGTGCTGTTGCATATTTAGAAAAGGAAAGGTGGTCAGTAGGCAAGCTGAGAACACATGTTAAACTGCATCATTCATGGATCTTGATTGAAATCCCTTATTTATGAAACAAGCTTGTATGTACACTTTGAGTCTGTTAAATATTATGGTGAAATTCCATTTATGCAGTGGGTCACACCCAAGACTTCCTGAAAGGTTAGAGGTGACCCTTGCTCCTAAGTTGGGGCCTAAATCTTGGCAGTCATAAAAAAGTATTTCTTAACTAGGCTATATAATCAACATTCTCAATTTTAATGAAAAAAAAAAAAAAAAAAAAAAAAAAGGCTGTCGCCAGCACCTCTTCTCACACACTCATCTACCCACCAAAGTTCCAGAAAACACCAGATGTATCTAATTGGTCTAGACTACATGTCCTAGATCCTGAAGTTGGGACTTCTGTTGGACTCGTATTAATACCAAATAAGTTTGCTTGATATTGTTGAATCAAGTACACATAGCTTAAAATCTTGTCTATGTTTAATTCTATTGCAAAGCCTTGTCCCCCACATACCATAACTATTCAGGTAAATTTATTTTTGTGAAAGTATAGCATGATGTCAGTCCATTCTGATACTGCTAATAAAGACATACCAGAGACTGAGTAATTTATAAAGGAATGGTTTAATTGACTCACAGTTCAACATGGCTGGGGAGGCCTCAGGAAACTTACAGTCATGGCAAAAGGAAAGCAAACACAACCTTCTTCACATGGCAGCAGCAAGGAGAAGTGCTGAGCAATAGGGGGAAAAGCCTCATAAAACCATAAGATCTCATGAGAACTTACTATCATGAGAGTAGCATGGGGAAACCACTCCCATGATTCAACTACCAACTACTGAGTCCCTCCCATGACAAGTGGAGATTATGGGAACTACAATTCAAGATGAGATTTGAATGGGGACACAGCCAAACCAAATCAAACATCTCATATCTTATATTTTATTTCAGCTATAGATCATAGCTCATTACAGTTTTCTATATTCATCATTCTATCTGTTTTTTGCTTTCTGAGAATATTATGATAACATTCAAGGAAGTGACATCAATGTTAAGATCAAGAAAAGGAGAAGATCCTATAGGATTCCTTAACATTGTTTTACTTTAGGAAATAATTGTCATCTATCAATTGTCAGCACCTCTAGGTACAATTATTTAACCAGCTTTAAAGCTGACTCTCTCATCTATTTTTACCCCATGTTTCTTTATGATTTACTCAGGGATTTTAAAGACACTCTGCCATATGCTTTGCTCAGGTGCTGATATCCTTGGCTCTCTTTCGTTCCTGGTCTCCTACAACAGTAATGGTGAGAATTAGCCTCATGAGACTAGTGTTAAGACTACTCAGTGGTTATAGAAAAGGGGGTAGTGGTTCTTCTAACAAAGTGTTAGATGCAATATTCCTGCCTCAGGTTTTTAAATTTTTTTTGGTGGTGTTGTTTTTTGTTTTTGCTTTTTTGAGACACAGTCTTGCTCTGTCACCCAGGCTGGAGTGCAGTGACATCATCTCTGCTCAGTGCAACCTCTGCCTCCCAGGTTGAAGCGATTCTCCTGCCTAAGCCTCCCCAGTAGCTGGGACTACAGGCACAAGTCACCGTGTCTGGCTAATTTTGGTAGTTTTAGTAGAGACAGGGTTTCACCATGTTGGCCAGGCTGGTCTTGAACATCTGACCTCAGGTGATCCACCTGCCTCGGCCTCCCAGAGTGCTGGGATTACAGGCATGAGCCACCACTCCTGGCCCTTGCCTTGGTTTTAACTGAGTTATCAATATGATTGACATCAGATATCAGAAGAGTATGAGAAAAAACCAGCATAGAAAAATTTTCAAAGGAAATTATTTACTACCTGATTTTGAAACAACTCATCTAATTTAAGGAGAAAAAAAATGTGTGGTGGGAGAAAGGATTATTGAAAGATTTTTTCGGAGAAAGTGACTACCATGCTATGAGGTCTCATGCCCCTCTTTGCTGTCCCAAAGCCACATCAAGCTCAGTGGTCTATAATTGTTGAGTCTAACACTTTATCTTTTTAGGCCAGGCACCTTTGGCTCGCGCCTGTAATCCCAGCACTTTGGGACGCCAAGGTGGGGAACTGCTTGAGATCAGGAGTTTGAGACCAGCCTAGCCTACATAGTGAAACCCTGTCTCTACTAAAGATACAAAAAAAAAAAAAAAAATTAGCCTGGTGTGGTGATAGGCGCCTGTAGTCCCAGCTATTCAGGTGGCTGAGGTGAGGGGATTGCTTGAACCTGGGAGATGGAGGTTGCAGTGAGCTGAGATCGTGCAATCGCACTCCATCCTGGGTGAAAGAGCCAGACTCCATCTCAAAAACTAAATTAATTAATTAAATAATTAAAAAATACCATTTTTATCTTTTTAGAAAATCAAAATTGTATTTGAATAGTTGAAAAGGGATTGCTAGGAAATACGGTAAGGGCACATTGGCATAAGATAAACCTTAAAGAAATTTTACTTATGCTGAGAGTTAGGAAATGATAGCCCACACTGTTACATCACAATATGTAATTTTAAATAATAGGTATTATTTTACTTAGGTGAAAGAGAATAAATAGTAATCTTTAATATATGTGCTCCTGAATCGATAGGAAGGAACAGTGTATAAGAAGCAAGTAATAAGTTTCTAGAAGGTCTTACTAATTCCTTCTATTTTGGAAGTGGGAGGCCTGGGAGCTAAGCAGTGCGTGACTGGTAGGAGAAACGAGAAACTTCCAGCTCTTGACCTCCACCCCACTCCCAGCCAGACAATTGCAGGTGCCACAGGGCTGAAGAGGCGCAATACGACCATTCTATTTTGGTTTGCAGATGCAGCTTCATAATCAGGAAGGGTGGTGAGAAGGCAAAGCTGAGCCAGAAAAGAGATGGGTCGGGGGAAAGAAGTGAAGAGATAAACCTTGTAGCTGCAAAAAGACACTTTACATAAGTCCCATTAAAAAGAATTTGTGACACAACAACTATCTTGCTAGAGTGAGCTACTTGTGCCAACACTGAAGAATGACAAAATTCAGATATGCTCCTTGGCAGGGGAGTCAACTGATTTGAAAGGAAAGTGAGCAGAAATAACAAACCCAGAATGCAGCTGTCTCTTGCCTCAGGGCCTGCTTATACCCTCCTTCAAGCAGCTGAATAACCAAATAAAGCAACAAGTTCAAAGATTACAGAGAAAATTCCGACAGCATCTGTTTCAACAGGGAGGGGAAATCAAAGACAATTCATCAACACTATTTTGGGGCAATTAATAGGAATGGGTGGAATTGCCCAGATTAAGAAGTGAAGATTATAAAAACAACAAAAGCAACAAAGAATTTTAGGGTAACTCTACAAAACTTCCTTTAAAAATGACAAGAAGGACACCACTGAGTAGAATTAGCATTTTTAAGTCAATGAATAAAAGAAAAGGAGGATACAGTGGAAAAAAATAGCACACAATGTAGAGCTGCAGAACCAGAACAAAAGTAATGACAGATAAGATATTATAGCCATGAAAGATAGTGTTGATCGAACATAGAAATAATTTTCTGAAGACAGATAACCTAGAGCAGAAAAAATTTGCAGAAATGAGTACAAGAAAGCTTATCTTGAACAAAAGTTCAATCTCTACATAGAAAGAGTTTGTTATATTCCAGTGAGCTGGTTAAAATTGGGGTAAAGAAAGATTTCCTAGAAGCCATGAAGGAAGAAGAAGGAGATTACCTACAAGGCAAAATAAAAAATCAGTATGGTCTTTGACATTTTCCATTAATATTAGCTAAGAGATGGTACTGTGATATTATGTACAGGAATTGAGGGAAACCCATATTAGCTAGGAATGTTTACCAAGCAATGTGCTTACTTAGATGTGAAAGCAATATCAAACATGCAATAATTTGGAACATAAGTCACCTATCACAGTCTCTAAAAGTAGTACTAGAAAATGTATTTCAATAAACAGAAAATTTGGTCAAATACAAAACTTAGTAGGAAATTTATCGTATTGAAGATTCAGAGGAAAATATAATTGTTTACACAGTAATTCAAGATGGACGTGGTGGCTCCACCTGTATTTCCAGCACTTGGGGAGGTCTAGAATGGAGGATTGCTTGAGCCCAGGAGTTCGATACCAGCCTTGGCAACATAGTGAGACTCTGTCTCTACAAATAGTTAAAAATTAGACAATCACCCAATAGCCATGGAAATCCTAAGCAAAAATAACAGAGCTGGAGGCATCACACCACCTGATTTCAAACTATACTAAAACTGTAGCCCTATACTACAGGGCTACACTAACCTAAACAGCTTGGTACTGGTACAAAACAAACAAATAAACTAATGGAACAGAATAGAGAACTTAGAAATAAGACTGCACACCTACAATTATCTGATCTTCGACAAAGCTGACAAATATAAGCAATGAGGAAAGAATTCTCCATTCAATAAATGGTGTTGGGATAACTGGCTAGCCAAATGCAGAAGGTTGAAACTGGACCCTTTCCTTATACCATATACAAAAATTAACTCAAGACAGATTAGAGACTTAAATGTAAAACTGAAAACTATAAAAACCCTGGAAGACAACCTAGGCAATACCATTCAGAACATAGGCTCCAGTGACGATTTCATGACAAAGATGTCAAAAGCAATTACAACAAAAGCAACTATTGACAAAAGAGATTTACTAAATGAATAAATTAAATGAAGGAGCTTCTGCACAGAAAAACAAACTATCAGCAGAGTGATCAGACAGCCTATAGAATGGGAGAAAATATTTGCAAACTGTCATCTGACAAAGATTTAATATCTAGCATCTGTAAGGAACTTAAATTTACAAGAAAGAAATAAACCCATTAAAAATGGGCAAATGACATGAACAGACACTTTTCAAAAGAAGACATCCATGCAGCCCATAAGTATATGAAAAAAGCTCAGTACCACTAGTCATTAGAAAAATGCAAATCAAAACCACAATGAGATGCCATCTCATACCAGTCAGAATGGCTATTACTAAAAAGTCAAAAAATAACATGCTGGCGAGGTTGGGGAGAAAACGGAACACGTATACATTGTTGGTGGGAGTGTAAATTATTTCAGCCATTGTGGAAGACAGTGTGATGATTCCTCAAAGATCTAAAAACAGAAATACCATTTGACCCAGCAGCCCCATTATTGGGTATATATCCAAAGGAATATAAATCATGGTTTTATAAAGACACATGCACATCTATGTTTACTGAAGCACTATTCACAACAGCAAAGACCTGGAATCAACCTAAATGCCCATCAGTGACAGACTGGATAAAGAAAAATGTGGTGCACATACACCATGGAAAACTATACAGCCATAAGAAAGAACGAGATCATGTCCTTTGCAAGGACATGGATGGAGCTGGAGGCCATTATCTTCAGCAAACTAATGCAGGAACAGAAAACCAAATACTGCACACTCTCACTTATAAGCGGGAGCTCAATGATGAGAGCACATGGACACATAATGGGGAACAACCCACACAGGGGCCTTTTGGAGGGTGCAGTGTAGGAGGAGGAAGAGGATCAGGCACGTGCCTGTAGTCCCAGCTACTTGGAAGTCTGAGGTGGGAGAATTCCTTGAACCCTGGAGGTTGAGGTTGCAGTGAGCCATGATTGTGCCACTTTACTCCAGACTGAGTGACAAAGGGAGCCCCTGTATGAAAATAAATAAATAAATAAATAAATAAATAAATAGTCATAAATTACTAATGATTATTGTTGAAAAATGGAACCAGGTTTAATTCTGGAAATAAAAGCAATAGAGTATAAAAATAATATCAAATTATATATAACTCACTGTTACAAAAATGTGTTTACAAAAATACAGATTAGAAGATAAATGACATAGTGGAGGAAAGTATGATAAAAGACACTGTGGAGAGTGGAAGTCGATATAGTGAGATAAATAAGCATGTCATCTAGAGTTTTTAAGGTAACTAATTTATATTTTTTCCAAAAGGAAGTAGGGAAATGGCTGAAGAATACACAACTGTGGAGCAAAAGATAGAAAATTTTAAAAATATTATGGAAATAGAGAAAACTTAAAAGTATAGAATAAGATTATAGTAATTGGATATTTACACAATAATAAATATTCTATTTTTAAAAATTGGATAAATTATTTAAATATTATTTAAAATAATGCTTTTTATAGTATATAAAATAATGCTTTATACGCTAAAGTTTACACAACCAATTTGAATGCCTCAAAGAGTTTAAAGATAAAATATTTGCAAAGATATCAATAAATGCAAAAAGAAAAAAATTTGCAAAGATATTAATAAATGCAAAAAGGAAAAAAAAAGAAAGAACTAGGAAGGGAAGGATGCAGAGAAAGAAAAGAAACAATCTGGAGAAAGAGAAATCGAGAGAGGCTAAAAGGTAGAAAATTGTAATAATAAAAACCAACAAATGAGTGCCACTATTCTCAGCATTTGGCCTATGCCTGATAACTCATGCAATCATTTTAATAACATCTAAGATAGGTACTTAGGTTGGTACAAAAGTAATTGTGATTTTTGCCATTACTTTTAATGACCGAAACCAGTCATTAAATAAAAATTACTTTTGCACCAACCTAAAATTACTGCCGTTTTACAGACTGTGGACTAGAGAAGCTAACGGATTTTCTCAGGGTGACCTAGCTTATGAGAAGTAGGACGGAGGTTCCAGCTGGGGCCATCTGGGTCCATTGCTCATCACCTTCACTGCCACACTCATGCTATTGTGCCTATCAAACAAAGCTGATGTTAATGCAGAAAAACATTAAATAAGACCAAAAAGTTCCCTTGCTACTTACAACTCTATAAATAAGTCACAATGAAGTTTTCATAAATAATATATCAAACTTTGTTATTGACATATATAAAACAAAAACCATAAGATATCTTAGGAAGAAATCAATAGAAATGCATTAGTAGTAATATATTATAATAGATCAGAGAGTTAAGTAATAAAGGTATAATATATTTTAAAAGACAATTAATTATTTTGTTTATCTCAGCTAAATATCTCGGAGAATGTTTCAGCATGTCCATTTATAAGATCTTTCAAAACTTTGATATAGAATGTGAATTCATTTAGAAAACAATGTGTGCCATTAAGATTATTTCATCCAATTCTTGGCTTTTGATTTTGTCTTAAATGATGTTTTTACCATTCCATTGTTCTCAATTCTATTTGATAGACAAGGTTTAAGATAGAGCCAAACACTTCAGCTTTCTCTTTGATCTACATTAGTACTGGCCTATACATATAACCTTTCTTCTTTGTTGTATAACTAAAAATAACTTATGCAAAAGCAACATGCCTATTTCATAACAAATTAGTAATTCTTTTAAAAGGATAAAAGTCAAACTTTATGAGATTTCCTTTGTGGACATTATTGTACAATACTACTGCGAGTTTTAATTGGCTTCATCTTTCAGAAAAATAATTTTATTATATTTATCAAGAATTTTTAAATGTTTATAACCTTTGATCTGTAAATTAATGACTATCTCAACAACACAGAGGTAGATTTGAGCATTATTTTTAATATTGTAAATTATTCTAATTTCACAACCTAAATGTTCAAATATACAGGAATAATTATTGAAATAATGAATCTCCCATAGAATTGACTCATATAATACACTAAAGAAATGATGCTTACAATTTTGAATTATCTAAGAAAATAGCTTTGAGAGAATATGTTAAAACAGAAAAATAAAATCAGAACCCAAACCAACATGTGTATAATATAATTTCAACCACATAAATAATTGTCTGAAGAAAAGGCATTTAGAAAATAATGTGCAAAAATATTCATTGAATGAGTGTTGAGGGAATAATTAAATGATGTTTCATTAAACTATTCTACATTTACAAATGTTTCAAAATTATAACTTGAAAATGGCAGAAATACTTTCTTTTATTGGTTGTTGCAAGTCTCACTTCTTTTGGGGTTCATCCAGTCTTCATTTTTATGTGGAGGCCTTGAAGATTGTAAATCTCAATGAGGGTATTTTCCCAGAAGAGAGTGACTATCAGATAAATTAAAGCAACTTGTCCTATTTCCATGCAGTGGGAATTCCCAGTATCTACCTTATCCTTAGGCTTCCTTATAATTAGAGCAGCTCTCTGAAAATGGAAAATAGGACACCAGTGGTGACAATGTGTAAAATTTAAATATTTTATTATGTAACAACCAAGAGTCTGAAAAAAAAAATGTTTCCATGATTGAAAAAGACTTGACAACAACCTAAAACTCTTGAACACATCAAGACAAGGAAAACAGTTTAGATTCTAATCAAAGTGTTTCAACTTTTGGTGTGCATAAGAATCTCTAGTTAGGAAGGGCAGACACTTTTTAAAAATATGAATTCCTGCCCTTGAGTCTCTGCAATTCTGATCCAGTTGGTCTAGTGTAGGGCAAAGGAACTGGATTTTTTTCCTGAGCATCCCAAGGCTATTTATGCAGATGGTCCATGAAATACGTTCACTTTAGACTTTCAAATGACAAGCTGGCTTTTCCTGTAGAAATCTCAGATGAAGATTGTCTATAAATATTCTCACTAAAATTAGACAACACGTGAATAATAAGAAAATTATCTCTAACAGGCCCCTCTTCTAGCAAGATTATATCGGTCAACAGGGTAGACCTCAATATGTTAAAGTAGGTGGTTGTTTGTGCAAACATTTTACACTTTAATCAATTGAAATACGTGATTTATAGCAAATCTAATCTTGTAACTTTTCTATTTACAAAATGAAATTTCAGGGAGATCAGTATCTCATGGATATCACTTGTCAATTTTCAAGTAACTTATTAAATACAAGTGAAATCTACTTAACTTTGGTAAAATAAAACTTCACAAAAGATGAATTTTTATGCCTAATTTATAAAGTCACTGAAAATACCAGTATAAAGTGGCAATCAATGTAAATACTTTTTTTCAAGTAATATTTTCCTTAAATAATGCATACTTTGATTTGGCTCATGACCTCTTCGAAGTCTACAACTGTATTAGGTAAACTGAAGCATTTGTGCACTTATTTCTGAATCTGTGATTCCCAAACCTGCATTAGCATCATCTAGGATATTTATGAAAATACTCAGATATATCAACTCAGAAACTTTGGTGAAGAAATGGAAGACATAGTAAGACGGACACGGGAATCTCTCTCCTCTCTCATTTTTTAGAGAAAACTTTTCCAGATAATTGTGATGCTCAGTAATGTTGCAGATCACTATTTGGGATGTAACTGGCTGGGTTATGCCTGAACTGTTGGAGTCCTTTCCTAATGAAGACCTATCTTTTGGCTTCATTAGCCACTGGAGTGCTTTTCAAATACACTCAAATTGTTTATGACACTGTGATAACACTTTATATTGTCTCCATATCACTGCACTGTTTTCCTCTGCACACTTCTGCTTGAGGTTCCATTACTTTGGCTCAATATATAGTAACATTTGTAGTAGCCTATTGTCATTTATCATTCCCATATCAGCTTAGATGTAATGAGAATTGCTTCAATGCCAAAAGAATGAATAACACTGGTCCCTGAGCTAATTAATGGGACTCTGTCACTTGCTGACCAACACAGTACTTAAGTATTGCTGATGAAACAGGTCCAAATACAAAGTAATGCATTTTAAACACCTTTAACTTAATTTAGAGCTTCATATACTACTGGAGCCAGAGTTGAGTGTTTCAGAAAAGTGAAGTTAACTTTCTGATATTTTACACTTATCAGGCATAAAGACTCCTTTTCTGTAAAGGGTCATTAATACAGTTACTGAAAAACCCTTATGCCTATAGAAAGGGATTGAAATTTACTGATATTTTATGACAAACATTCAGCATTTTCATTGTATTAAGAAGAGGACTCAAGGATTTTTTTAAATCAATGAGTAATAAGGATATAAAACATAATTAGGTTCCAAGTCATTCTAAGTTGAAGCAGAGAAGAATAGAAGAAAGAAAATTAGAATTGTAGAAGATTAGAAAGCACAGGAACAAGAACATACCGAGAAAGAATGAGAAAATGGAAAGAAGCCCATCAGATCCTTCTCAAGCTTTTTATCTAAACTGACTCGAGGTAGGCTGGGCTGAGTAGAGTTTTCTATTTTAACACAGGCTTCCAGTGTAACCAGTAAGATGAGGACACTCAACTTTGACTCTTAGGATTTTTTTAACGGAGTTTCTTTTATTTGTGGTTAATCAGAATGAAGAGAATAGAGTAGCCACCCAATAGTTTTACAAAATTGATTTTCCAGATGATGTGAAGCTATCAACTAGAGCTTTCTGCCTCTTCATTTCAGATAAGTTGTGGCCTTTTTTATTTTCCAGGAAATTGGGCTTCTTTTTTATGACAATATTTTATGACTCATGCTGATTCATACATGTATTCAGGGTGTTAATCAATCAATTATGCTACACCATAGTATCCCCTTATCTATAGGGAATACATTCCAAGACCTGCAGTGGATGCCTACAGCCAAGGATAGTACCAAACTCTCCACATACACTATGCTTGGATTTATTTTTCTTCTTTACAGTTTCACAGATGGAAGATTTGTTCTTACTCTAGATCTTAGGAACCTCGGCATACATTTTTTTTCTTGCTTTATTTATTCATGTTTGACACAGAGTCTGGCTCTGTCACCCAGGCTGGAGTGCAGTGGCACGATCTTGGCTCACTGCAAGCTCCATCCACCTCCTGGGTTCATGCCCTTCTCCTGCCTCAGCCTCCCGAGTAGCTGGGACTACAGGCACACGCCACCACACCCGACTAATTTTTTGTATTTTTAGTAGAGACGGGGTTTCACCGTGCTAGCCAGGATGGTCTCGATCTCCTGACCTTGTGATCTGCCCGCCTCGGCCTCCCAAAGTCCTGGGATTACAGGCGTCAGCCACCGCACCCGGCCTTTTCTTGCTTTATTTATTTGAGCACTTTCATCCTTTTATCTGACGGTAGCACACTTTCCAGCTTCTCTTTCACATGAATTGCCAGCATCACTACCCTTGCACTCTGGGACTAAGTAACATTAGGATGACTGGAACACAAGCACTGTGAAACTGTGACAGTCGATCTGATAACTCAGAAAGCTACTGAGTAACCAATAGGCGGGCAGCATGCACAGCATGGTGACTCTGGATAAAGGGGATGGCTCATGTCCCAGGCATGACTGAGCAGGAGAGTGCAAGACTTCATCACATGGCTAAGAATGGCATGCAATTGAAAACTTATGAATTATTTAATATTTTTCAATTGTCATTGACAACAAGTAACTGAAACTACAAAAAGTTAAGCCTCAGATAAGGACGGACTGTTGTACTGGCCAACCAATAAGGTTATATTAGGGTGAACGTGAGCGAGTGTTTTTCAGAAAAATATTTCTGGGTAAACATAATAGGGTCAGTGCTGTGACAGAAATGTTCCCAGGATGTGAAAATTCTTGGCTGTGGAAAGAAAAATCAGGAAAGGAAACATGGAGTCAAGGAAAGCATCCTGGGGAAAATCCTGACTTAAGTCTTGAAGAATGAATAAAAAGTGAGCAGGTAGGAAGGTGGCATGAGAGAAGCATTTTGAGTTAGGCTTTGTTTTTGCTCTAGAATACAATTAGTTTGTGGGGGAAAATGACCTGAAAAAATAAGAACAGTAAAAACAAATAAAGAAAATGTAGTATGTATATGCAACGGAACACTATTTAGCCAAAAAAAAAAAAAAAAAAAAAAAAAAAAGAAAACAAAAAAGAAGAAGAAGGAAATGCTGTCATTTGTGACAACATGGATGAACCTGGAAGACATTAACTGAAATAGGCCAGGAATAGAAAGTCTGTGAAATCTGAGAAAGTTGAATTCATAGAAGCAGAGAGTAAGGTAATGGTTAGCAGAGGTTTGTGGGATGGTGGGGCAGTGGTGGTGGGGCTGGAAAGATGTTGGTTAAAGGCTACAGGATTTCAGTGAAATAGGAATAAATTTGGGAGATCTATAGTACAACATGCTGACTGTGACTATAGTTAATGACGATGTATTGTATTCTTGAAGATTGCTAAGAGTGCCCCCACTGAAAAAAAAAAAGGTATGTAATGTAACGCTATGTTCATTAACTCAATCTGGCCACTCCACAATTTATAATTTAAAAAATAATAACTTAAAAATAATCGTAAGAACAATACTTTTTTATCTATAATATTATGTGTATATTAATATACTGTTAACATTTTGAACTGCACACACACACACATAATGTTAACTTTCTTATCTTCTTATCCTAGCTTTTTGGGTGGGATTGACAGTAAAAAGAAGAGAAAATGATTACTGTGTCAATCTGGTATAATTGCTGGCTACTCAACTCACAACAGCTACACCAACAGGAGAATAAGTCTTTCTATGACATAATACAGGAGTAACCACCAGATAGATCAGCAGAAGTAGTCTGCATACATTTCTTACAATGACTGAGAAAGTTCACAGGGATGTGACAGGTCTGAGTACCTAGTAAGTCCCCAAGTAGCAAGTCTTGGTACACAGACTCCTAAATACAACTTCAGATGAGTGAAGTTGGTCTTCATGTTTTGTCCTCACAAACCCCTCTCAAAAACCTCCTCTGTTCTCTCCCAAGGTCAAACTACCCAGATCATATATACTTCTGACCCTAATTTCTGTTTATTTAATTTGTGTCTGCTTTACTCATCCTGATATCATTAATAAAAGAATGGGTGTTTGAGCATGGCAACCAGGAGAAGGAAAACCTTGTAGAGACCCTTTTCTTAATTGTGACTAAGGCAATATCCACATAACATAATTCTCCAGGTAATCTGTCCACAATATTACCAACACCCTCATTTCCCTTGCAACACAGTTTTTTAAAAGTATTAGAATTATACTTTATAATTTTCTACATTATACACATGATTATTAGTGTGATTCGAATATAACAAAGTTCTTTGTTTCATATCATCATTTTGGATATTATCACTTGAGGAAAATAACTGCATTTTGAAGACTTTGAGTAGTTACATCTAACCTTTTTGTATAGTAAGGGATAGTTTCTTTTTTTTAAATTATACTTTAAGTAATGGGATACATGTGCAGAATGTGCAGGTTTGTTACATAGGTATACATGTACCATGGTGGTTTGCTGCACCCATCAGCCCATCATCTACATTAGGTATTTCTTCTAATGCTCTCCCTCCCCTAGTCCCCCACCCCTCAACAGGCCCGGGTGTGTGATATTCCCCTCCCTGTGTCCATGTGTTCTCATTGTTCAACTCCCACTTATGACTTATGTGGTGTTTGGTTTTCTATTCCTGTGTTAGTTTGCTGAGAATGATGGTTTCCAGCTTCATCCATGTCCCTGCAAGGGACAGGAACTCATCCTTTTTATGGCTGCATAGTATTCCATGGTGTATATGTGCCACATTTTCTTTATCCAGTCTATCAGTGATAGGCATTTGGGTTGGTTCCAAGTCTTTGCTACTGTGAATAGTGCTGCAATAAACATACGTGTGCATGTGTCCTTATAGGAGAATGATTTATAATCCTTTGAGTATATACTCAGTAATGGTATTGCTGGGTCAAATGGTATTTCTATTTCTAGATCCTTGAGGAATCCCCACACTGTCTTCAACAATGGTTGAACTAATTTACACTCCCATCAACAGTGTAAAAGCATTCCTATTTCTCCATGTCCTCTCCAGCATCTGTTGTTTCCTGACTTTTTAATGATCACCATTCTAACTGGCGTGAGATGGTATTTCATTGTGGTTTTGATTTGCATTTCTCTCATGACCAGTGATGATGAGCTTCTCTTCATATATTGGTTGGTGGCATAAATGTCTTCTTTTGAGAAGTGTCTGTTTATATCCTTTGCCTACTTTTTGATGAGGTTGTTTTTCCCTTGTAAATTCGTTTAAATTATTTGTAGATTCTGGATATTACTATCTGATATTTTACAAACCTGACAAAATGAGCAATGGGGAAAGGATTCCCTATTTAATAAATGGTGTTGGGAAAACTGGCTAGCCATATGCAGAAAACTGAAACTGGACCCCTCCCTTACACCTTATACAAAAATTAACTCAAGATGGTTTAAAGACTTAATCGTAAGACCTAAACCAATAAAAAAACCCTAGAAGAAAACCTAAGCAATACCATTCAGGACATAGGCATGGGCAAAGACTTCATGACTAAAACACCAAAAGCAATGCCAACAAAAGCCAAAATTGACAAATGGGATTTAATTAAACTAAAGAGCTTCTCCACAGCAAAAGAAACTATCAACAGAGAGAACAGGCAACCTACAGAATGGGAAAAAAAATTTGCAATCTATTTATGTGACAAAGGGAGCATTTCTTTAAGGCGTTTAGATTTTTTTTGTTTGACTTATTTCCCTCAAGGTCATAGTATTCGTAGTGAATGTAGCTTTCAATAATCTTCATTGAAATGATCAGAAATATATGTGTTTAACATATTAGTGATGTTTTCTTTAAGAAACAATATCAGTATGTGTTTCATATTCATAATTTTAATAGGAATAAACTTTTATTTACAAAGACAAAATGATATGCTGGAATGAGCTAATGGGTGGAAGACTGTCTATCAGAAAATATGTACTTATTAATTCAATAATGAACCAGAGAAAATAACATACATTAAAGGTACACTGATAATTGAATGAAATGGTTTAAAGTCCTGAGTATAAACTACCATATGACCTGTATATTTATAAAGATGGGTTTATTGCTCCAGAAAAAAAAAGGGTTAAACCAATGAAGTTCAGTTTTTAAATCTTTCAGTCTAATAAAGGCCCTAGAAAATCAATACAGAACCAAGGAAATAACATTATTGGATGTGGTAACCTTCAGTTCCAATAGTTAACTCCAAATGAACAAGTCTACACTAAGAAAATAATTATTGTTGATTAATATAACCTTAAGCTTTTCTCAGCCATTTTATCTGCAACAAACAAGCTTTTCAAAAGTG